>NC_000007.14:151125046-151276561 GCF_000001405.40 Homo sapiens | reverse complement strand
CCACCTCCTCCCCATCGCTGCCTGGCATCTTCCCCTCCTTCCCTCTCCAGTACCTTCCTATCCTCCCTCCACCTGCATCTCCCCTCCTTCCCTCGTCTGGCACCCTCCTGCCTGGCACCTTCCCCTCCTCCCCCTGTCTGGCACCACCTCCTCCCATTGCCTGTCACCTCCCCCCTGCCGAGCACTTTCTCAACCTGCTCCTGCCTGGCATGCTCTGCTTCCTACTCCCCCTGTCTGGCACCTTCCCTCCTTCCCCTGCCTGGCATCCTCTCCCTCCTTCCCCTACCTAGCACCTTCCCATCATTCCCCTGCCTGGCACCTTCTCTGTCTCCACTTGGCCACCGTCTTCCCTGGATACCCCTCTCCTATTCAGGTTGTCCCTCTGTCCCCCACCTTCTTGCAGGGCACCTCCCCCCCGACCCTGGACTGGTAGCCCCTCCCCTACCGCATCTTCCTCTCCTCATCCTCCCCTCCCACTCTGTCTCCCGGACCCCACCAGCTCTCCCATCCCCAGCACTCCCTGTCTCCAGCCTCCTCCTTCCTCATCCCCTTTCCTCCCAACCCTGCTCAGGATTGATCCATGGGCAGCAGCCTCTTTTGCTCACATGGCTTAACCAGACCCTGAGCCACTCCCAAGCCCCACCTCTGTCACCCACACCCCGCTCCTACAGCACTGCTCTCTTCTTAGCTCCCATGCCCCACCGTCTGCTCAGGGACTTCATTTCATAAGTTGGGTCCTGACCCAACGAGCTGGAGGCCTTCCTGCTCTTCCAGCAAGGAAGGAAGCAGGGCAGGACAGGACAGAGCAGGCACTAGCAGGGACCAGGAGGGAGGCGCCTAGGCCAGCTGGTAGTCATGGAGCAGGCTGACTACCTGCCTGCCACCTCTGGAGTCCCTCCATGCCCCTGGGCTCCAGGGCCATCCCAGTTACCATCCTGACCTGCCCTCTGGCCTTTGCCTCCAATGCCCAGCTCTCTCCCTCCAACCATTGCCACACCCCCAAAACTGGCCTCTCCAGTCAGGGCTTGGGCTCTGCCTGGGGTCCCTGCTCTGTCTTTCAAGTTCTTTGTCCCGCAGGACCCTGGGGCCGGTCTCTGTCTGCTTCCCACACATACTGCTCCCACCTGCGCCCTGCCTTGTGCCACCCCAGCCCCAGCTGGCCCATGCTGGTTGCCTCCATCCTAGGCCCTTTTTTCTGCACAGTGTCCTGGCTTCCTCAGACCTCCACTCCGGGGAGTTTGGCTTCTTCGCAGCTTCCCGAGGCCTCCTTGAATCTACGCTGGGGCTCAGGGTCTGACCTCTCCTTTCAGATCCTCAGAATGGCCCTTGGTGCTGCAGGCGCGGTGGGCTCCGGGCCCAGGCACCGAGGGGGCACTGGATGACTCTCCAGGTGCAGGACCCTGCCATCTATGACTCCAGGTCTTCAGCACCCACCCACCGTGGTACAGGTAGGTGCTTCCTCCCCTGCCAGCCCAGGAGCAGAAGCTCTGGGGCCCCATGGCGAGTCGGCCAGCCCTCGGCTCCTGCTCCCACCACATGGCCCCCTCCCGGCATTTCTGCCCCCAGCTGGACTCCTTAGTGCCCATGGCAGGGCCTCTCTGTCCCTCTCCCCACCCCTGCTGACACCTGTCATTAATGTCCTTCCCTCCATCCCACACTCCCTTTCCTGCGTGTCCTCTCACCTCCTGGTGTCCTTAGGTCCTGCCTCTCAAAGCCTTTCTGAGCCAGGGACAAGCTACCTGAAACCAAGTTTTGGGTTCATGTGAGCATGGTCTGGGCTCTGGCATGCTCTACTTCCTCCCCACCTAGACAGCCAGACAACACCCCATCTCCTCTCACTGCGTACATGAAGAAGCGTGCACATACGTGCACATGCTCACATGCACACACACCACATGCTCTCTGCGAGCTGGAAGGAACCTGCTGATTCCTTGGCACAACTTGTGCTCAGAAACCTCTAAAAACCCTCAGGGCCCCAGGCAGGGTTCCGCTTGTGGCAGGAGGGAGGTGGCAGCCGTCTACTGCACAGCCCGCAGTGGGAGCCAACCCTGCCCTGCCCCAGGCGGACCTCTAGCTCTGATGCACTCTGGGCCATTGCTTGCTTGTAGGGCCTTCCTAAGCCTCCTCCTCAAGGAGTGAGAGGAAGATGGTCTGCATTTGTCCGCATCAGTCCCCACTTGTCCAGAAGGACACACTGAGGCTCTGGGCAGAAAAGCCACCTGCCCCAGAGCCCCAGCTGGCATGGTAAGGGGTCGGAACTGAAGTCTGGTCTGAGCTCTGCCTGCCCAGCCCCACCCATCATCACGCTGGCTGGCCTCACCGGTGGGAGGCACCTGGCAACAGGGTGGGTACTGGCAGGGCCTCAAGGTATGTGGAGCCCAGTCCCTGTCCTCAGGGCCTGCGGCCTTGGAGAGCAGCCTTGACAATTGGGCACAAAGGGCCACAGACCACACAGGCCTCAGAGCACTGAGGAGGGAGACATCAGGAAAGTCCTGGAAAGGTGCAATTGGAAATGGCCCAGAGGAGCCTGAGGCTCGGGGAGGCCTGGGGCTGTGGGCAGAATGAAAGTGCTTTCTCTGCTTCTCCTTCCTCAGAAGTGGGCAGAGGAACTCATCCTCCTGCCAGGCTGCTCTGAAGGCCAGGGACAGCCCCGTTCCCCTTCAAACTGCCCCAGTGCCCCTCCTCCTCCAGTGAGGTGCAGGCCCAGGGCAAAATGGGGCAGGGCACCGGCTTTTGGGGAAGCTGGCCTGGCCCAGAGGATCCAAGCCACACAGGGCAGCAGCAGGCACCAGTCACCTGGTACCCATCACCAAGGAAACACACCTGGTGGCGGCATGCCCAGCCCCACACCTGAAGCCCCAGTCCACCTGCAGGAAAGTCAAGGCCTCCAAGCAAACGTCCCACCCTTATCCCCAACACCTCCCCAGCACCTGAGGTGAACTGGGGACTGGTTGCTCAGTTTGTGGTGGTTGGTGTTTTAGCTGAAATTCATAAAGAAAAGGTGAGAACTAGTATATTAAACCAAGCACTCTACAGTTCTGGGGTGTCTGAGGTTAGAGGCCAGGTTGAACGGGGGGCAGGCTGATGGGAGGCAGCTAAGCTTCCTGGAGGGGTGCACCTGAAGTGGTCCCCCACGTGGAGAGTCCTCCTAATATTTGACATGCCCTTCGTTAGGCCCTAAGGGGCTCCCCAGCAGCAGTCGGAGGGAGCCTTGGGCTGTTCCAGACCTTTCCTGAAGGGTCACTGCAGGATGGGCACAGGGGAAGGAGGGCAGAGGAGGCCTGTGAAGATTGGAGCTGGAGCCCTGGGGCAGTAGGTCCATCCTAGTGACACCTGGCCCCAGAGTGACCCTGGCCATGAGTCAGAAGCCCCAGCTCCAAGAGTGACAAGGTGGTGGAAGTTTGGCATCTTATCTTGGAGTTGCATTCACATGCAATCGGCGGTGTGCGTTGCAGGCTCTTGGCAGCCAGGCAGGCACTTGGGCATTTGGATGCTGACAGGCCCTGGTGCTGGTGCCTAGGCGTCCGTCCTCACCCCAAAACTGGCGGTGTGACTGCAAGTGAGTGCTCATGATTAGTGAAAATTAAGTGGTGGAGATAATGAGCTAGAGGTGTCACTGGGAGGAGGCTGAGCCACCCATCGGGGATGAGTGGACTTCCCTCAGCTGTGGCTGGACTCCTAACCATCTGGAATTGCTGTACCAGAGGGGCCAAGCTGAGGCCACCGCCTGCCTCTGACGGGTACTTGGCTGAGGGACATCTTGTAGGGACCATTGCTGTGTCCCCCTGTGCTCCTTGCTAATGAGGGGTGTGGGAATCCTTGGTGACTCATAAAGGACCGTAGAGGAGGGCTGATCACTTCAGCCAGGCCCACATTTTGGGATAGCGCGTTCGGTTTCTTGACTTTCCAAGCTGTGACACCGATTCTTGGCACTCTACACTTACTTCCAGGGATTTGAGAACGTGCCTCATGAGCGTGCGCCCCACACAGGCCTCCTACTGCAACTTACAAACTTGGACCATCTCCCATGTGAACCTTTTTCCCAGACTGAAGATCGTTCTGGGAAAATGCCCTAGAGTGAGGGACACTGTGCCATAAGGGAGGGAGAGGAAGACACAGGGAGGTGTTCTTATGCTCCGCCTCATCCTGAAAAGGGTTTCAGGTAGTTTGCAAAGATACATATAGTGAGGAAACTGAGACAGAGATAGAGTAGAGAAAACATGGTGTTGCCTAGGATGTGGCTACTGCACCAAATGCAAACCACGAGGCCCAGAGACCCCGATGCCAGCAGAGAAGCAAGCAGTTACATGATTTACACTGTGCATGAGATAAAAATCAAACAACTTGCTCAAATCACGTGATTTCTGGTCCCGAGCCACTGGGAGGTCTCTCCTGTATGAGGAAATGAAGGGGATACCATGTGACAAAGTTATGCAATGTTCTCAACAATGTCACAACTGCTTCCTAGGGCTAAGGCAAGGACCAACACAATACTCCCCAGCCATAAACCTACTGGTAATATTGCTTAACCCAAACTTAAAATTTGGAGCAACTAGAGGAATGCATTGCTACCTTCAGGAAATACCCTCTTTCTCTTTTGTAAGAGACAGAGTCTCACGCTGTTGCTCAGGCTGGAGTGCAGTGGTGTGATCATGGCTCACTGCAGCCTCCAACTCCTGGGCTCAGGCGATCCTGCTTTAGCCTCCTGAGTAACTGGGACTACAAGCGTAAGCCACAATGCCCCCTAGCTTTTGTTTGTTTTGTTTTTATTTTAGTAGAGATGAGGTCTCACTATATTTCCTAGGCTGGTCTCAAATTCCTGGGCTCAAGCAATCCTCCCACTTCAGCCTCCCAAAGTGTTGGGAGGCATGAGCCATCGAGCCTGGCCAGGAAATACTCTCTATATTGATATTTACAACAATGTTTCTGATAAATATCAGGCAGCAGGAAGGTTTATTTAAAATTGGAAATTAAGTACAGAGTCACATTCTCCAGGTAGGGGTAATATCCTTATAGGAAATAAAGAGCTCCTTAAGCACACAGGCCCCACAGGTGAGTTTGGGTATGAGGAGGGACCAGTCCTGGTCTTTCCCCACAGGTCCTGAACCCATGGAAAAACAGGCACAGGCATCAGTTAACTTAAGTGCAAGGAAATTCAAGCTGAAGAGAGGCTTGAACCTGAGGCCCAAGTGTAGAAGGCAGGTCCTACTCCCTAACCTGGGTTTGCTTACCTGGGCATGGGAACAGAAGGAGATGATCTGTGTCCTAAAACAGACTCGTCTAGAAGAGGAATGCTGGCCACAGGGTAAGCAGCCTTGCCTTCAGCACCTTCACCCCACCCGCCTGGGAAAGGGATTGTGCGGCTGGTGCAGGCCCTCACCACCTCATCAGACAAAGCCTCCTCCCACAGGGAGGAAGGGTGGGGAGAGGGCCAGGGTCATTCCAGTATCTCCTCTCCTGGGAATACAGTACATGTTTCCTTGTGAACACATGAAGACAAGGGAGTAGGGCCCCTCTGCAGTGGGGTGGATGGGCCACATTGCTAAACAGTGATATTGAGGCTCAGGTCCAGACCTGAAGTGACCAAGTCCACCCCCTTTCTTACCTCTCCATTGGAACAACTGCCACATCCTTTTATTTGATTTTATTTCCTAGATAAGTGTCAATTCCATCTGCTTCTGATTTCCCACGTCACTGCCCTGGTCCACACACTGTGATCTTCTGCCCCCATCTGAGTGCCGCATACTCAGCCTTGTCCCTGCATCAGACCCCGGCCCAGCACAGTAACGAGAATGGGCTTCCTAAACACAAATCTGATTTGTTCCGCCTTCCACTTCCTAGTGGCTTCATTCTCGTGCCCTCACTCAGGGCCCTCACACATGCTGTTCCCTGCACCTCCGACACCCTTCCCAGCTCCCTTCACCTGGCTAACTGCACTCATCCTTGAAGCCTCCACGTCAGTTCCACCTCTTCCAGGGAGGCTTTCTCCCACCCGGCTTGGGCGTGAAGGCCCACCCACTCTCTTCTGTCTTGCAGCACCTACCAAAGAGGCTAATACTGAGTTGCAGGGCTCCTTAAAGGCATGGCTGCATCTGTCTTGTTCCACACAGTACAGAGAAGTATTTCTTGAATGAATGAGCAAATGTGTGAGGCAGTGGACAGAGAGGGGGTGGCTCTACGGCTGATTCTAAAATGAGCCCCAGATCCCTCTTGGTGCTGTCAGCCTCACCCTCTCTACACCACCACGATGCAAGAGTGGGCCTTTCTTGCCTGCCAACCTTGTCCTGCTGTCGCCTGAGCTGCCCTGTGCCCCGCGTCTCCCTCCTGTAACTCCGTGGTTGGAGGAGTGCTCCATGCTCATTCCCTCTTCAGTTATTCCTATGGTGAGGGAGAATGTCACTCCCTCTGACCTTGGGTTTGCCTTTTGGAGTTGCAGGGAGAAACCCCTTTCTCCCTCCAAGCCATCTGACCACCTTTCAACATTTGGAGGCAGCTTTCGCACAGGCTCTGTCTCCGCTCGGAACATCCAGCTCTGGCTCTTTCAAATATTCCCAGCCTTCGTGCCCCCTGGGGAGCGCTGAAGATCCCCCAAGGCCATGGCCCACACTTGGAGCCACCTGTGCCTGTGCTAGAAGGTGAGCTCTCCCTTTCCAGCCAGGCAGATGGGGAAGGGGTACTCAGTTTTCTGAGTGACATGTCTCATCTGTAGAATGGGACATCATGCCCTTCTATAAAGAAGCAATGGTGATGGCGGACCTTCTGCACAATGCCTGCGTTCACCGAGCGCCCCTCGCCACTGCAAGTGTTCACATGGGATGCTGAGCGCTGTCCCTGCTCCAGGTGTCATCTGTGGACCCCAGAGCACCATCTAATGCCACCGATGCCTCCCTTGGTTGCAGGTCCCAGCCTGCCATTCATGCTGCCCGCATACGCCACTGGCCACCACCCAGACACGCAGAAGTCCATTCTTCCTGTTCCATATCTGTCAGCCCCAACATGGAGCTATCTTAGCTTTAGCCCATCTTTCCAGCCCACAGCTCCCATCCAGCCTGATGCAGTCTGCAGGTGTGAAAGGCCTGTCTTCTTTGCCTTTCATAAAGTTTTTAATTGGAAAAAAGAAAAAGTGAGCCAGCAGGGCGCAGGAGAGAGCCCTGTGGTCCCTGGAGATGGCTCAGGGTGGGCCGGCAGCTGAATCCACAGCAGGGGACTCGAGGGTGTGTAGGCTTGAAGGAGGTGCTGGTGGGTCGGAAGGTGTCCCCCGTGGGGGCCTAAGTAGATGCAAGAGAAGCTGAGCTCCAGCTTCAGGTCTACAGCACCCACTCCACTCTGCCCAGCAGGAAGCAGCACTGTGCTTTTGCCTTTTCCTGCCTCAGTTTCCCTTCTAACTCCCCCTTCACCATCACCTCACTTGCATCTTACCCAGGCCTCTTCCTTCAAAAGAAAAGTCTGTCTTTGAGACACTTTAGATCCATTCAGTGGGCAGGGATGTCTCCCCCTGCCACCTGCCATCACAGCCCCCACCTCAGATTCAAGAACAGCTGCCACAAACACAGTGACCTGCAGGAAGTGAAAGAGTGAAGTGACTGGGGGCAGAGTAATAGCAGCCAGTAAAGACTGAGGGATCATTGTGGGCTTTGAGAACTATTTCAAGAATTTTAGGCCAGTCGCAGTGGTTCATGCCTGTAATCTCGGCACTTTGGGAGGCCAAGGCAGGAAGATCGCCTGAAGCCAGGAGTTCAAGACCAGCCTGGGCAACAAAGCGAGACCTCATCTCTACATTAAAAAAAAAAGAGAGAGAATTTTGTGTGGTTTAATTTATCCTAACCACAACACTATAAGGTAAGTGCTGTTATAATCATCATCCTCTCCAGATAAGGAAACTGAGGCACAGGGCATGAAGGAACTTTCCCAGTGGTCAGGGCAAGAGTCCCAACTGGGGTCTCTCCACCATATTTAGCCCTCAGAAATTTGCTGTGCCCAAACCTCAGGGGCCCTCACAGAGACAAGACAGCCACCCCTTTATTCAGGGTCTCAACCCAGCCCCTCCTCTTTTGCCCCCAGCACTGAGGCTCAAGGTCAAAGGCCATTTATCATCTCACACACAGCCTGTTCCACTCATTGACTTTCACTGCTGTGTCCCTAGGGTCATTTGAGTTTGTAACCCCTAAAATAGGGAATGGGGAGGAGATGTGGCAAATCGGAGGGCTCTCGCCCCTCTGAAAAGGGGCAGCCCCTCCTCAGCTCCACCCGATTGTCTCTAAATGGACTGGTGGTCTGGTCTTGCCAAATTTCTCATTTTTTAAGAGATTCTGGAAATCTGGCTTTGATGTGAAATCTCTCAGTCTTTAAGGTTGGTGCCTAATTAAAGTGTTTAGGACACAGTGAGGGCTGAGCAAAACCTATCTGCCCTGCCCAGTTCGTAACACTCACCTTGAGCTTTCCTTGCCTGCCACTTGTCCCCTGTCCTCCCTTCTATCCCCCAGCCCAGAAAACAAACCAGCATTTCTCCCTGAGAACTCAGGGCCCCCAGTTTGAGAAACACTGCATTAAGAATTGCTGTCACTTTATTTGTTTATTTATTTATGAGACAGGATCTCAGCTCTGTCGCCTAGGCTGGAGTACAGTGGTGCGATCATGGCTCACTGCAGCCTCAACATCCTGGGCTCAGGCAGTTCTCCCACCTCAGTGCCCCAAGTAGCTGGAACTACAGGTGTGCACCACCATACCCGGCTAATATATTTAAATTTTCGTAGAGAGGAGTCTTGCTATCTTGCCCAGGCTGGTCTCAAACTCTTGAGCTCAAGCAATCCGCCCACCTCAGCTTCCCAGAGTGCTGGAATTACAGGCTTGGGCCACTGCACCTGGCCTGCTGTCACTTCAGTTGGCTTCTTGTCAACAATGAAATTATAAACAAAATGCAGAGTCTTTTCAAAAACTTGAGGACCCTCCCCCTAGAACAGATCTGAATCCCAGTTTGAGAAGCAGTGCTCATAAATCCTCATGATGGCTGCTAATGGGAAGGGCAGGGGCTGTTGTAGAATCCCTCTCAACTTGTCTGTGTCTTAAACCCGGAGTACCAACCCCTGAGGACTTCGCAGTACATTCGATAACGAATGGGGGAGCAGTCAGATAGTGACTCAGAAAGAACACGGACCTTATGATCAGAAAACAGGAGTTTGAGCCTCACTTTCAACATTAACTCGCTCTCCAGCTCTGAATCAGTCTTTAAAGAACTCTCTACGCCTTGTGTTCCTGTCTTTAAAATGGATACAGTAATAGTCATCCCTTCAGTTTCCTGGAGTGTGGAGAGAACCAAATTGGATAATGCATGTTGAACTGTTTTGTAGGCTAAGCTCCATGAAGCTCTATGTGTTAATTTGGAGGTGTTTGACAAAGTGTTTCCCTATATCTTTAGGGTATGATACATAAACGTGGGCTGGATGCAGTGGTGTGCGGGTAAATGTTTAACAACTGGCTCTTGGCAGGACGGGGAGTGGGAGCAGAACTCCGGTTTGTATCGTTCGCCAATTCCTGTGGTATAAATACCACCAGCTGGGTGCAGTGGCTGGGCCTGTAATCCCAGCGCTTTGGGAGGCCACTGCGGGAGGCTCGCTTCACGCCAAAAGTTCAAGACCAGCCTGGGCAACAAAGCAACACCCCATTTCTACAAAAAATTTTAACAGTTAGCCAGACATGGTGGCATGCACCTATAGTCTCAGCTACTCAGGAGGCTGAGGCAGGAAGATGGCTTGAGCCCAGGAGGTCCATGCTGTAATAAGCCATGATCACACCACTGTACTCCAGCCTAGGCGATAGCCAGACCCTATCTCAAAAAACAAACAAACAAAAAAAACCTCCCATATTGGCTGATGTTAAGCCGCTGACATGACACACTAGCACATTGCCGGCTGGATGTTACGATAATTGGGCAAATTTGCTAAGAATTGAAGAAAGACGAAGCCCCAAAGGGTGTACATTAGTCTGGAGAGAGAGAGCCTTGTCTTGCTTCCTGTCCCTTTCTCAATACATTCAGCAAAGATATAGATGCAGATCGATGGTCACACTCACTGGATTTGTAAATAACACACAGCCAGAAAAGATGGTGAATATTTTGGATAACAGAATTAATATTCAAAAGCTGTCAACATTCACCTTCTAGAAATTATGGGCTAATTCTTAGAAGATGAATATTAACAGGAGTAAATGTTCTGTGTCCATTCTTGAGACAAAAAGACAACTTTACAAGTAGGGGATAGGGAGACATGTTTTGCGTAGAGTAGAAAAAAAAAAATGGCCGGGTGCGGTGGCTCACGCCTGCAATCCCAGCACTTTGGGAGGCTGAGGTGGGTGGATCATTTGAGGTCAGGAATTTGAGACCAGCCTGGCCAACATGGTGAAACACTGTCTCTACTAAAAATATAAAAATTAGCTGGGCCTGGTGGCACGTGCCTGTAATCCCAGCTACTCAGGAGGCGGAGGCATGAGAATCGCTTGAAACCAGGAGGTGGAGATTGCCGTGAGCCGAGATCACGCCACTGCACTCCAGCCTGGGCAACAGAGTGAGACTCCGTATCAAAGAAAGAAAGAAAAGAAAAGAAAAAATTGAGGTTAAATTGACAATAAGGTCAATTCAACTCCACAGTGCAACGGGTGATTACCAAAGAGTGATAAATTAATGGCCATGATGACTTTACTCAGTACTCTGTGACTTAAAGAGAATTTTCACATATGGCAAATCATTACTATTTTGCTATTCACAATAACCCAGTGAGAGAGGTAAGATGATAAATACCCACTGATGAGGAGACCGAGATCAGAGAGGTTAACGGTGACTTGGCACTTTTATCCTCCTGTCAATGGATGATGGAATAAAGGCTCAAACTCAGGCCTTCTGACCTGGGTTCTGCCCTGTGCTTTGCACCCTGCTTGGAGGCCTTGCTTTCATCGGGCAAACCAGAGGATGTTCCAAGGGGAGGCCCAGGTGGTAGGTGGACTAGCAGGCAGGTCTCGTGATGACCGCCCTGGGAGTCCTGAAGAGCAGAGCTGTGGGGGTGTTGGGTCACTAGGGCCACCCCAACAAAGGACCGCAGACCTGGCAGCTTAAACAACAGAGATTCCTGGTCCCAGTGTCGGAGGCTGGAAGTCTGAAATCAAGGTGTCAGCGGGGTTGGTTCCTTCTGAAGGCTGTGAGGGAGGGATCTGTCTCAGGCCTCTCTCCTTGGCTAGAAGTTGAGCATCCTCTCCCTCTGTCTCTTTACATCATCATCTCTCTGTGCAAGTCTCTGTGCCCAAATTTCCCTTTCTTGTAAGGACACCAGTCCTATTGGATGAGGGCCCACCCTAATGACCTCATTTTAAATTGATTACCTGTTTGAGGACCCTCTCTCCAAATAAGGTCACATTCTGATATATTAGGGGTTAGGACTCCAACATATGAATTTTGGGGGACACAGTTCAACCCATAGCAGGGGGACTCTGACAGGTGCCTTCAGAATTTGGAGATGTGTCTAACAGAGGAGCGAGATGGTCAGAGCCTCAGGGAGCTGACAGGCATTCAAAACCCTGGGCTATCCCCATCACAGGAAGAGCCAACGCCCTGAGGGACAGGTCGACTCCCTGCCACTGTCCAGTCCTTGGGCCCCTGGGCTGCTAGAACACTAATTCCCCACCTGGCTCCATGAAGAGCCACAGGGCAGCCTCCAGCCTCCCCTTCTGGCAGTTACCCTGGGCAGTTAGTATGCCAGCTTCCCAGCTAGTCCCGGGCCTGGCCCCACGGTCTGCTCCCCCTCCACCGCCACCACCACTGCTTCTGCCCCATGCTGGCTGCCAACACTGCCTCCAGCAGAGGCTTGGGCCCAGCTCCACTGGGCTCCCCAGAACTCCATGGATCCCACCATTTACCTCCTCACCTCTGCATCAGGGAGAAGGAGGTGGCCTGCTGAGGAGTTAGGTCTTCAGGGGGTGATTGCCTCCGTCCTCCAGAGGAACTCCCACAGTTCCTACCCCAGGTGCTGACCTGGCCTGGTATGGTGGCTTCTTGTGTGAGACCATCTTCACAGCACTCACCCTGGGCTTCGGGATGGCCTACAATCATGCTCTCCTCTTCCCACACCCTGTGCCAAAAGCCACTGCCATCCTGGGGCACTTTCCAAGGCAGGAGCTGACATTAGCTCCTCTCTGTTTTGGGGCAAAATCCTGACTTTGACCGGGTGCAGTGGCTCACACCTGTAATCCCAGCACCTTGGGAGGCTGAGGCAGGCAGATCACTTGATGTCAGGAGTTTGAGACCAGCCTGGCCAACATGGCAAAACCCTGTCTCTACTAAAAATATAAAAATTAGCCAGGTGTGGTGGCAGGCACCTGTAGTCCCAGCTACTTGGGAGGCTGAGGCAGGAGAATCGCTTGAACCCGGGAGGCAGAGGTTGCAGTGAGCCAAGGTCACGCCACTGCACTCCAGCCTGGGTGACAGAGTGAGACTATGTCTCAAAAAAAAAAAAAAAAAATCCTGTCTTCAGGAACCTGACCTTCAGACCCAGTGGCTGATCATTGCAGGTCAAGAGAATGGCAGGTGCAGAGGTCCTGAGGTGGGCAGGGACCCAATGAGTTTGAGGACCAGATAGGGACTGGTGGAGCTGAAGGCACCCACAAGGTGGAGTCACCCCTGTGAGCCCTGGCAAGGAATTTGGATTCTGTCAGAGCTGTGAAACCATTGTCAGATCTTAAGCAAGGATGTACTATGGTCCTCATTGCATTTTTTAAAAGATCACTCTGGCCATGCCGTAGAGAGAGACAGAATGGAGAAATGGGACGATCAGTGCAGAAGAAAGATGGTGCCGGCCTGGTCCAGGGTGATGACAGAAAAAAATGCAGAGACCAGTGGGCCTGAGAGATCAGAAAATGGTGAAACCAATAAAATTTGCCTATGGATTAAATAGGAGGGCCAAGGGAGAAGAAGATGTTCATAATAACAACCATGGAACAGCATGGAAAATGGCCAGACCCTGGAGCTGGGCTGAGGGAATTGGATGGCTTGAAAGATATGGCGATGTAGATGGGCAGGATTGAGGTTTGGAGGGATAAGAGGGACATTCTCCAAGGTGGAACCTGGGGAGGGCAAAGACAGGGCTTTGAGGCTGGTGAGGAGGCCCCCTTGGTGAAAGTGGTAGGGCCTTGGTGGACACATGGACATCCTGCCTCTCTCTCCCCAACCTCCCCAGCTGCCTTCCAGGTTTGAAGTTGTGGTTACAGCTTCGGCCTTGATTTAGATCCCTCAGAACACCCCTTGGCATTTTTTTAATTAAAAAAAAAACATTTAGCAGGAGTGTCTGGCACATTCCACTTCTTCCCATCAAGTCTGCCCACAGTCTCTGGGCTAGGATCTAGTCTAGACACAGGCTACCTGGATGAAAATCCCAGCTCTACCCCTACTAGCTCTGCAACCTTACACCAGTCACTTTGCTTCCTTAGGCCTCAGTTTCCCCACTTATAAGGTGGGTTAAGGATTTTACTCGCAAGGTAGGGTGACTGTGAACATTAATTGAGCTCAGAACAAACAGTGGCTGCTCCCAGTAAGAGTTGTGTGTGCTGGCTTCCCTGTTACTAGTTTTAGCCTGCTGGGCTCTGCAGGGCACCTGTCCTGCCCTTTCCACTATTCATGACTCTCGCCAAGATAAAGCATGAGTCTTGGGTGCCTCTCCCCTGACCTTCACAGAGGAGCCCAAGGAGGCACAGCCCCTGAGACCCACAGCACCCCATGCCAGCCTTGGGCATCCCACCCAGTTGGGGCTTTCCCTGGCTGTGCTCAGGGTCTTGCTTAGGTGTCGCTACTCTGAGACACCTGTTGGGGTAGCCCTGCCCCACCCTGTTAGGGGCCCCTCCTCCCTGCTCCCGCGGGGCCCTAAGGACACACCTGGCACAAAGCCCTCTATCCATCTTGTCTTTCTCGATGACCACCAGGTCTCAAGGGCAAAGGCCATGTCATGGGTGTAAATGGGCAGTACTTCCCAGGAGCTGCCCCAAAAGAGGTGCTCACTAAACGTGTAGAGGACAGAAGGCAGAGGAGCACATGGGGTGGGAGGAGGCCCTACTTTTCTTTGGATGCCGTTACCAGCAGTTCCCAAACCTCAGCTTTTCTAGGCCAATAACTGGCCTTACAAAGTCTTTTTAAATTTAAGTCCCAAAGCTGGGCATGGTGGCTCACGCCTGTAATCCCAACACTCTGAGTGGCCAAGGTGAGAGGATTCCTTGAGCCCAGGAGTTGGTGATCAGCCTGAGCAATGTAGCAAGACCTTGTCTCTACAAAAAAATTTAAAAATTGGCCGGGCATGGTGGCATGTGCCTGTAGTCCCAGCTACTCAGGAGGGTGAGGTGGGAAGATAGCTTGAGCCCAGGAGGTCCAGTGAGCTGTGATCACACCACTGCACTACAGTCTAGACGACAGAGCAAAACCCTGTCTCAAAAAAAAAAAAAGGTTGAAGTGCAGTGGATGTGCTACATGTGGTGGCTTCTGAATGTCTCCCTCCTGTCCTGCAGCCCAAGCTGCAGCCCCCACAGCTCAGTTGCGGGGCCACAGGCTTCCCACAGCATGACCCCTGCATGCTAACAACACTTGTGGCTGCTCTCTGCCCAAGGAAGCGTCCAGTGGCTTGAGTAGACCCCACACTTCCCGCAGGGCTCCCAGAGCCACCGTAATTAGCCACTGTGAATGATCACCTGGCTGGCTTCTAAGAGCAGCAGCTCGGCCCTCGCTTGTACCCGTCATGCCATTTGTGATGAGCCTGCCGCTGAAGGGCTCTGAGAGCTCCCTGGTTCCACTGCGCCCCACCCTAGCTGGGGGTTGTTTGGCAGCAGGATCATCCAAGTCCGGGAGATAAGGCAGATGAGCAGCAGCCAAGGCCACAGGGAATCCAGGCTGTGAGACAGGCAGGCAGGACCACTGGGAAGCTGATGTTAACAGCTGCTGCTCGTTAAGTGTTGACCCTGTGCCAGGCACTGTGCTGAATTCTGCACATGCTCAACCACATTTTAATCTTCACATCCACCCATGCATCACGTGAGGGACCCCCAGTTTTGCAGATGGGGAAATTGAGGCTCAGACAGGTCAGGTAACATGATCAGGGTTATGGTCACTCAGTGGCTGGGTGGGGTTTGAACCCAGAACCAATTGACTCAAGGGCTGTGGTTCTCAACCCTGGGGCAATTTCACCCTCCAGGGACAAGGGTCAATGTCTAGAGATACTTTGTTTGCCACACTGGGTAGAGGATAGAGGCCAAGGATGCTCCTGACATCATACAGTGTGCAAGGCAGCTCCCACAGTAAAGAATCGTCCAGCCTGAGATGTCAGCAGTGCCAACTGGAGAAACCCTGTTCTAGAATCCAGGCTAGGAGCCATCACACCGTGGACTGCAGAGACCCTGCCCAGGGCAGTGGGTTCAGGCAGGGGTAGAGAGCACAGCCAGCCTTAGTTACAAGGATTTGCCGAGAGCGCGCCCCAACATCTGCCGCCTCCCCACCGCCCACCCCTTGGTGAGTCTTCATGAGGCTTCTTGGTGCCACTGTAGCCATTTGAGCCCCAGAGTAAAGTCTGCTGAGTTACTAGTGTGCTGTGTGGGGACGGCAAGATGCTGAGCTTACTGTGAAGTCCTTGGTCATGAACAAGCCTCACAAGCCCCATCTCTTTCTCAATCCCACTTACGTTTGCCTGGTTCTCCAAGAAATTGGTGGTCCACTCAGCCTAGACAGAGCCTGTTGCTGTTCTCATCGCTTCTCCTACCCCTCTTAAGGGCCAGTTGGATCCTCCAAGTTCTCCAAACCTAGCACCAAGTGGCACCAGGAAGGCAAGGTGAGGTGGTAGGGGGCTGTCCGAGGGCACCGCTTGGCTATGTCGGGGTAACGACATGTTCCCAAAGGATAGCCGACTGAGGTCCAGGTAGGGGGCGGGGTGGCGTGTCACCATGGGATTCAGGTGTGTACGTCGCACAGGAGTTACACTTGGTTGTGAGGACCACAGAAGCCAGAGGAGCAAGGGGCTTGTTCCAAGTTTAACTAGCATTCATTTTTTTTTCTTGTTTTTGGCTAAAAAGTAATATTTCCACAGTAACAAAGGGAACCTTCTCAAATTTGAAATTTATTTCAGACACCTTGGTAGTAGCACATTTTCTAGAATTTGTATTCCCAATGTTTCGAACAATCAGCTTGAGATTTTGAGGGGTGTGTTTAAAACGATAATTAAGGGTAATTCAGCTTAGCTCTGCAGGCTTCCAGGGATCTTGATTTCCTTCTTTAAAAGGCAGGTGTTTGGGGAAGGTGGGGTGCGTGTGTTGGTTAGTCTGTCACTACCCCCAGCAGGCAAGCTTTAGCACGGGGACACTGGGGAGGCAGCTTGGGGTAAAGGAGAAAACCCAGGGACCTTGAGGACAGGAAACCTGATTTGCAATCCTAGCCCCACCCTGTGATAGCACAGTGAATTTTGGCAAGTCACACAACTTCTTAGAGCCTCATTTTCATTATCTTTATAATGGGGACCCTGCCAGGAACCTGATAGGCTTATCTGTTGGGATCAGACAGGTTACTGTGTGTGGAAGTGCTTGGTCAATGGTAAAGTCCTATACAAATCTAAGCCGATGTTATTACTCCTATGATAACAAGTCTTGGCCAGGCGTGGTGGCTCACGCCTGTAATCCCAGCACTTTGGGAGGCCAAGGTGGGTGGATCATGTGAGGTCAGGAGTTCAAAACCAGCCTGGCCAACATGGTGAAACCCCGTCTCTACTAAAAACACAAAAATTAGCTGGGCATGGTGGTGCATGCCTGTAATCCCAGCTACTTGGGAGGCTGAGGCAGGAGGATCGCTTGAATCCAGGAGGCAGAGGTTGCAGTGAGCCAAGATCATGCCATTGCACTCCAGCCTGGGTGACAAGAGTGAAAGTCCGTCTCAAAAAAAAAAAAAAAAAAAAAAAAACTCTCAGGTTGTAACCTCAGCTGGCATTTGGAAATCCGTGCTGAAGATCCTGAACGGGCTTGGAGTGGGCTCTCTTCACCTCCACCCATCACATGTTGGAGGTTCTGCCATGTGCCAGGTACTTGGGATTTAGCAGTGAAGAAAACAGATAAAAAGCCCTGCCTCCTTTAGAAACACACACACACACACATACACACACACACACACAGCCCCTACCTTTTTGGAGCTTACATTCTTTTTTTTTTTTTTTGAGACAGAGTCTCTCTCTGTCACCTAGGCTGGAGTGCAGTGGTGTGATCTCAGCTCACCGCAACCTCTGCCTCCCAGGTTCAAGCAATTCTCCTGCCTCAGCCTCCCGAGTAGCTGGGACTACAGGTGCCCGCCACCACGCCCAGCTAATTTTTGTATTTTTAGTAGAGACGGGGTTTCACCATGTTGGCCAGGCTGGTCTCGAACTCCTGACCTCAGGTGATCTACCCACCTTAGCTTCCCAAAGTGTTGGGATTACAAGTGTGAGCCACTGCACCCGGCCTGGAGCTTACGTTCTAATGGAGAAAAAGAAAAGTTAGGCATCAATGTAAGGGAGTAGATGATATAGAAGGGTGGAAGGGTAGGGTCCTGTAGGGAAAGTGGAGGGGAATAAAAGAAATGGGCGTGTGGAGGGAGAGGGCTTGCAGTTTTTAATCAGGGAGACAGACTGTGCCTCATTGAGAAGGAGACATGTGAACAAAGGCTTTTGGGAGGTGAGGAGTCCGCCATGTAGATTGCCAGAGGAAGAGCATCCTGGGCTGGCACGGACCTGGAGTTTCCAAAGCACCACAGGGAGCCCAGAAGCCAGGGCAGAGAGAAGGTGGCGGGGGAGATAGCAAGAGGTGAGAGCAGAGGGGACAGGGAGTAAGGATGAGACCAGATCCTGCAGGACCTTCAGGACCTTGGCCCTTGCTCGGAATAAGATGGAAGGCCTGGAGGGTTTAGAGCAGAGCAATGCCATAATCTGACTCCCTTTTTCTTTTTCTTTTTCTTTTTTTTTTTTTTTTTAGGCAGAGTCTCACTCTGTTGCCCAGGCTGGAGTGCAGTGGCGAAATCTTGGCTCACTGCAACCTCTGCCTCCTGGATTCAAGCGATTCTCCTGCCTCAGCCTCCCAAGTAGCTGGGATTACAGTTGCATGCCACCACACCCGGCTAATTTTTGTATTTTTAGTAGAGACGGGGTTTCACCATGTTGGCCAGGCTGCTCTCGAACTCCTGACCTCAAATGATCCACCTGCCTCTGGCCCCTCAAAGTGCTGGGATTCCAAGTGTGAGCCACTGCGCCCGGCCCTGACTCCCTTTTTAAAGAACCTGTTGCCATGTTGAGAACAGACTGTTGGGGTGAGGCTGGAAGCAGGCTACCCAGTAGCTGTGGTTTGGATCTCGGGCGGCATCCGGGGAGAGGTGAGAAGCAGTGGGCTGCTGGGTCCAGAGCCAATAGGATGTGCCTTCAGAGTGGATGTAGGGTGTGAGGGAAAGGCAGGGGTCCAGGGTGTTCCAAGGTGTGGGCCTGGGCAGCTGGAAGGAGGGAGAAGACTGGGCGGAGGATGGGGTTTGAGGCAAAAGAGCAGGAGCTCATTTTGGACCGACCATGTTTGAGCTGTCCACTGAAGACCCAGGTGGAAATGCCAAATAGGTGATTGGATAGATGCGTCCAAGGACTGGGAGAGAGGACCGGGCTGGAGGAAACTGGGAGCTGCCGACATACGGGTGGTGCTGGATGTGATGAGACCGCAAAAATGATGAGATCTCCGAGGAAGTGAGCGTGGAGAGGTGAGGAGGACCCAGGCCTGAGTCCTGGCGCTCCTGCATGGAGAGGGAAGGAGAACTGGATGGTCCCCGGGGACTCAGAAGGAGCAACCCGGGAGGCAAGAGGTCAGCCAAGAGGGGAAAGTGTCCTCCCTCCACGGGAGGAAATAATTGAAAGAGGACAGAGTGTTATGACTTTGCCGGGTGCAGTGGCTCACACCTGTAATCCCAGCACTTTGGGAGGCCAAGGCAGGCGGATCACAAGGTCAGGAGTTCGAGACCAGCCTGGCCAATATGGTGAAACCCCATCTCTACTAAAAATACAAAAATTAGCTGGGTGTGGTGGCGGGTGCCTGTAGTCCCAGCTACTCAGGAGGCTGAGGCAGGAGAATCGCTTGAACCCAGGAGGCGGAGTTTGCAGTAGATTAAGAACTGACGGCAGCATTTGCCAATGTGGAGGCTACCGGTGGCCCTGCCAGGAGCATTTCAGTGGAGCAGCGGGAGCTGCATCTGACAGGATTGGGATTCAGGGAGAATGGAGGAGCACAAATGAGACAACTCTTTTCAGAAGTTTTGTTGCTACTGGGCAGCAACCTGTAGGATAAGTAGGGTTAAGAGAGATTGTTTCAGGAGGCCGGGTGCAGGGGCTCACGCCTAAAATGCCAGCAGTTTGGGAGGCTGAGGCGGGAGGATCACTTGAGCCCGGGAGTTTGAGACCAGCCCAAGCAACATAGTGAGATTTTGCCTCTATTTTTTAAAAAGTAATAAAAAATGAAAGAAGAGCGCTTATTCCAATGGGGATGTAACAGTACTTGTGCATGCTGCTGGGGGAACTCCAGGGAAGAGGGGAATGTTGATGAAATGATGGTGTGGGAGAGAATTGCTGGAGCAGTGTCCTTGGTGTGGAGGAGGGACGGAGCTGGCACACGGAGGCACGGCTGGCTGTAGTCGGGAACACAGATAGCTCATCTGGAGGAACGGGATCAGCTGCTGGCAGGCAGAGGGTGTGGTGGGAGGCTCTGGAAGTTCTTCGGAAGCTTCTTTTTTCTCAGTGAAGGGGAAAACGGGCACAAGCTGGGAGTGAGGAGGATGGAGGAGAGGTTGGAAGTCAGAGGAGGGAGAAGCTGCAAAAAACTCCTGTCGGGGTGTGGGAGCGGGCATATTTGTGACTGTGCTGTGAGAAGAGTGGCCTGCCGGGCAGCACGATGCCAGCTGAGCTCGTGCCGAATCCACAATGAGACCGGGTGGGGTGGCTGTGTGTCTTTCTCTGGCCACATTCAGGTGCGTGGTTGCAGGGGAGGAGCTGGTGAAGCTGGATTTACCTCTTAAGAGAGTCAAGAGTGTACACAAGGGGTCAGGTGCAGTGGCTTATGCCTGTAATCCCAGCACTTCAGGAGGCCAAGGTGGGTAGATCACTTGAGGTCAGGAGTTCGAGACCAGCCTGGCCAACATGGTGAAACCCTGTCTCTACTAAAAATACAAAAAGTAGCTAGGCATGGTGGTGTGCACCTGTGGTCCCAGCTATTCAGGAGGCCGAGGCACAAGAATTGCTTGAGCCCAGGAGGCAGAGGTTGCAGTGAGCTGAGATCGCGCCACCTGGGCAACAGGGCGACACTCTGTTTCAAAAATAAAAAAAAAAAAAGCCAGGCGCAGTGGCTCATGCCTGTAATCCCAGCACTTCAGGAGGCCGAGGCAGGCAGATTGTCTGAGGTCAGGAAGTTTGAGACCAGCCTGGGCAACACGGTGAAACCCCGTCTCTACTAAAATACAAAAAATTAGCTGGGTATGGTGGCAGGCACCTGTAGTCCCAGCTACTTGGGAGGCTGAGGCAGGAGAATTGCTTGAACCTGGGAGGCGGAGGTTGCAGTGAGCCGAGATCGCGCCACTGCACTCCAGCCTGAGTGACAGAGCAAGACTCTGTCTCAAAAAAAAAAAAAAGTACATGCAAGGGAGGTTAAAATGGTCAATTGTGTTATGTGTCACCGTCAAAACAACCAGGAGATTCAATGTGTAAGAGCAAGGGGTAGCTGTGGGGAGGGGTGCAGAGTGGTGAAATGAAGCAGAGGTTCCAGAGGAGTCGCAGGATTTGGAGGTCAGGGAGCTGGACAGGGTGAACTGGAAAGAGGAAAAAGAGGAGACGGTGGTCAGCGAGTAGGGTGCATGGGACTGAAAGTGGGGGGCTGCGGTTGCTGCAGTGATCTAAGAGATGACCTTGGGAGTGCATGGCTGAGGGAACAGGGAGGATCGCTGGAAGAGGAGCTGCCAAGGAATGGAGAGGCCAGAGATGTCTGGAAGAGCATGCAGCAGGCTGGACAGGAGTGGTGCTCCGGAGAGTGACATGAGCCAGGAGCCAGAATCCGCACAAAGGAAGCCTCCCTAGCTGGGGGTAAGATGCAGAGCCAGGGCTCTGGAAACAGCAGTGAGGGGCAATGGGGGGCCATACCCACCCTTAGGCCAGTGGTCGAGCCACTGCTGGAAGGGAGCCTGGCATCTGCTTCTGGAAGGCAAAGAGGATGCTTCCAGAAGAGGTGGAGCATGTTGGAAATGTTCCTTAGGACAGACAACACAGTAGGAGGGTTTCAGGGGCTGGGGAGAGATGGCAACTGTAGGAGGGTCTAGGGCCTTGTGGGGCTCAAAGTGCAGGAGTTGAGGGGGTCTGGGGCTTTCTGTGGTGACTGATGCAATTGGGGATAAAGGGCAGCATGAGATTGAACCTGGTGCCCTCAAGGCCGAGGGCAGGTCGAGGGCTCCCCTGGCCCCGTGGTGCAGAGTGGAAGGTGCAGTGTCAGACCTGCAAGGACAGCCGGGCGACGAGTCCGCGCAGCACTTCCACGGGGGTTTTATTTACACATCCCACTGCCCGCTGCCATTTGATTTAATATTCCCAAAAATTTGTTTAGAAATGCAGATGGACTTTTTGTTAACTATTCACTTCTCTTCACTCCGGTGACACCCAGACCCCAGAATGCAGTGATTGGCAGGAATCCCCCTAAACACCTGTTCAGAGCAGTAGCTGAGGCCCGTTCCTGCCTCACAAGTCCTCAGAAGCTTCCCGAGGTGAGGGGCAGGACGCTGGGCCACTAGGATTGCCCTGACACTGTCATGGGGAGCTATTAGCTGCAAAAGACAGAGAGGAGAATTGGAGGTACCAGAATGGGGCTCCCCTCACTAAGAAAGAGGAGGGCTGGGGCCTGGGGAACACAGGACACACGTGGAGACAGCTAGCAGGGTGGCCAAAGGCCTCCCCACACCAGGCAGGGTGGAAGAGGCAGGGCGCTGGCCCAAAGCCCTGGTGAAGCGGGCAGCACTCTGTGCCTTGCCAGCATTTCCAGAGGCAGAGGTTGGAGGGAAGGCAGCAGCACCCTCATGTCACAGATGAGGACAGAGCTCCAGGGAGGAAACGGCATTCCCCGGGCCACATGGCCCGACATGAGCAGATCCCAAGTCGACCAGAAGCCACAAGGCTGCCCCCCAGATCCCTGGCAGCCAACATCTGGATGCAGCCAGCATCTGTAGAGAGATGGGAAGGTAGGTAGGATGTCTCAGACATGCACTGGGTGACTCCCCTGGCACCTCAGGCATTTGGGACACGGCTGGGGCAGGGCAGGAGTGGGGCCTTAGCAGAGCCAGGGGATATTATGGGGATGGGTGGGCTTCCCAGCCCTGGCTGCCTGTTAACCAGGAGGCCAGTGGAGCCAGAGATGGCTCCCACACACCTGGGAGGAGGAGAGGGAAAGACTGGCTACTGTTTGGAGTCTCAACCACCCTATGAGTCCCGAGGCCATGCGATCCCCTTGTGTTTGCCCTGGGTTTCAGCCACATCTAAGCCACTGAATCTGGCCAGATGTGCCAGGTGTTGATCCGGAGGGAGAGGAGAGGAGAGTGAGGATGGTTCTGAGTGACCCATCCCTCCCTCCAGGGCCATACAGCCAGCAGGTCAGGGCACTGCCCAATTCAGGGTCCCTGGACGTGGCCCTATTGCCCGCCAGCAGAGCCACACCCTGGAAGGTGGGAGAGAAGTTATAGCACCCCTCAGGATCCCATGTAAACACCATCCCACAGCCCAGCCCTGTCCGTGCAGAAATGGGGACCAGGCCTGTGTGGCACGTTTTTATGGGGTGTGTGACCTGCTACAAGCGACCACCTCATTAATGGGGAGTAAGAGAAAACCTGCTGTGAATCCAAAATGTGCCTTCCCTGTGGCCAGCGGGATGCTCAGATCCCAGCGCCCAGCCCCGCTCTCCTGCCACCAGCAGTTTATTGTGTTGTGTGTGGTGGGAGGGGTGTCAAGGAGCATCCCATTAGACTGAGGAATCCCACGCAGGCAAAGAGAGGAAGGAGGCCTCATTCATTCCACTAACCTTCGCATGCACCTGCCTGCCACACAGGACCCTGGGGACCCCAAGGTAAGGCCCACCCTGCTGTCTGGATGCTGAAGGTGTAGGGGTGAGGGCTCAGCCAGGTGTGCGTGACAGGGGCAGAGCCACCCAGAGAGAGCTACTCTGAGGGGAGGACGGAGGGAGTGAGTGGGAGGGCCGCGTCCCTGAGGACCCCATAGAGGAGGGGGTGCTGAGCTGGGACCAGGCCTCACTCATGGTGAGCAGCCCCCACTCACTCGGTGCGGGTCTGCTTCCCGGCACAGCTCCGTCGCTCTGCTCCCTCCCTCTGTCCCCCTCCTTCCTCCCAGTCTGCCTTGGTTCCTGCCTCTGTCTTAGGAAATTCTTGGATTTCAGAGCTGGAAGGGCTCTAGGAATGCTCTGACTTAAGCCTCTCCTTTCACTTCTGAGGACACTGAGGGACAGGGAGGTACAGCGACTTGCCCAAGGTCGCACCATTATTTTGGTGTCCTAGTTTTTCTTTGTTTTTTGCTTCTATATATTGCATTTGTCTCTTTCGTGTATGTTTGCAAAAGTGACACAGAAAGACAAAGTCACACAGAGAGACAGCCCCCTTGATAGCAGCAGAGAGTGTCGGGGGTACAGAAACATCCCAACACAAACAGGGAAGCGCACAGCTGCCCTGGCCTGGAAGCAGCATGGGGGCAGCCAGGAGGAGGAGGAGGAAGGTGCCTGATGCCCCTGGCCTGGCTTCGGAGCGTCCCCTCTGCTGACCGTCACCAGAGGCGGGGGTTGAGGTAGTCTCCCCTCCTCCCTCTCTGGAGCTGGGCGTGACCCCAAGGACTAGCCAGAGGTCCCCCGAGGCTGGTGCTTAGCCCGGGCAGGTAGGCTGGATGGCGGAAAGTGGGGCCTGGTTTAGAGATGGCCAGAACACCGAAACCAAGGCTTTGTGGTCCTCACAGCGCCAAGTGGTCTCACTTTCTCCCTCTCTCTTTCTTTCTCTCTCTCCCTCTCCTCTCGCGTTCTCTCGCTCTCTCTCTCTCTCACACACACACACACACACACTCACTCAGGCCGCCCCAGTGAGGGTGATCGTATTCTCCTAAGGAGAGCTTTATTGCTGGGGGTGTAGGGAAAAGGGAATAGAGGAAAGAGCTCTCTCCCAAGCAATCCGTTCTCCCTCCAGTCTCGCTTCCTTTGTTCCTCCCTTCCCTTCCTCCCTATCCCCTCGCCAGCTTCTCTTCTCTCCTTCCAGCCCCTTCTTCCATGTTCCCCGCTCTCCTGCTCCTCCTGCCGCGCCCCCCGAGCGGAGTCCCCGTGGTGGGACCTTCACGGAGGGCAGGAGGGCGGGACTGCGGCTGGGGCCCGGCCTAGGTGGCCATCTTCCCGCAGGGAAGGAGTTAAGTCTCTTCCCCGCATCCCTCCTCCCTCCGCCGCCTCCCCGGCCGCCGCGGAGTCCTGCAGCTGGGCCCCGGGCTGACCTTCACCGGGAGGGAGGCCGCGGCGCGCATGCCCAGGCCGGGGACCGGCGCGGGCGGAGGGAGGGGCGGCGCGGGCCGGGCCGGCCCGAGCCCCCCCAGCTCCCCGGCCGCCGCCCGCTCGCTCGGGCGCGGTGGGGGCGAGGCGGCCGAGCCCGTCCCGCAGGCCGCGGCGCATCTCTCCCTGCGCGGGGAGCGGCGCTTTGCCATTTGGTGCTGGTGGTGCTTCAGCGAGGGAAGGAGCGATGGGGGGACGGCAGGGGGGACTGCGGCGCCGGGCGCCGGGCGGCCGCCCTCGCCCCCGACAGGCGCACGGCCTGCCCCAAGTGCGGCGGGCGCCCTATTGCGCTGGGAGGAATCCACGCTCTTCCCGGGCCTCCTTCCCACCCGCAGGAGCCATCGGCGGCGTGGCACACCGAGCGCCCTTCTGGGGTTAAGCCACTGGGGATCCTGGCCTTTGTGAGGAGGGAGCCCTGGCCCGGGCCCCCACACTGGCGCCGCCCCAGCTTTCTGGTCTGAAGGCTCCTCCTGTCGCCCACCTAAAAGCAGTACGCAAATGTGTCTGGGCCTGCCTTGTGAATGGGGCCCACCACGGGATGTGGAGGTGCTCAAGGTGTGCCTGTGTGTGCAGAGCCATGTGGCTTCCTCGACCTTTTGGTGCTTGTATTGGTGTGCCTGCTGTGTGTGTGTTGGGAGGGTGTGTGTGCAAGGTGTATCTATTGTCTGTGTACACTTAAGGATGTCTCCCAGAGGGGTGGCTCAGGAGAGCGCTTATGTATGGACTTGGGTGAAGCTCACCAGCTCCTCCACAGGGGCTTCACCATAGCCCCTCGTCTAACTACCTCCCGCAACCTCTTCCACCACCAAGACCAAGCCCGGGATCTCCCAGGCCCTGCCTCAAACTTCCCAGCTACCCAAACTGGAGTGCCCAGCATCTCCTCTGCTGTCTTCTTTTCCCAAAAGGTCTCTCCAATAGTTGAGAACACTGAGCTTTAACAAAGCCTAGGGGTGTCTATCTCCAACCCCCAGAACCTCCAAGGCCTGTGGTTTCCCATGCCCCTGCTAGACGCACCCATGGTGGGTGGGGGTGCCCATGGTAACTCACACCATCAGGTAAATGGCAGAGTACCAGCTCCATGCATTGGCTCATTAAGCTTTGCAAGCATCAGGTATCTGGGGTACTGTTGAGTTCCTGTGCCCAGGCATGGAGGAAGAGTGGGAGTTAAAGATCAGTCTCTGACCTTATGGGGACCTTAGCCTCTCTGGGAAAGCAAAGCTAATGTCCTTGAAGCACAGTGCACGTCAGGCCAGTCCAATGCCAATTCATGGTGCTGGGTAGATGGCAATGAGCATTTGGAGAAGAGAAAAATCTTTGCATACAAGTAGGACGAAGGAAGGCTTCCTGGAGGAAGTGGGGCCTGGGCTGGGCTTTAAAGAATAGGTGTGATTTGGACAAGCAGAGGGAAGGCAGAGGGCAGGCAAAGGGCATTCCAGGTAAAAGAATCGGGGGCAGGGGCTAAGAAATGGGAGTGAGCGGGGATTCTGGAGGTTAGCAGGCAGACTGGGCAAGTCACTTCCCCAGGTTCCCAGCAGCATGACCTATGGCAGACAGAGGCAGGCCACCCACCCATCCCCACCGTGTCAGGGCCCAGGCTCTGTGTGTGGGGGTGTGTGGGGGGTAGTCTAGGCTAAAGCCCTGGGAGAGATTTGGTAGCAAGGGGATCTCTAGGTCCCCTTTCAAGCTAGGGGTGGTGGAGGAGCAACCTGGACCAGATGTCCTCCCTGACATTTCAGATTGACAGTGGGCACCTAAATGAACAGTGACAGCCAAGAGCACAACCAGGGCCAGCAGAAATCAGGCTGCAGGCAGAAAGGACCCCCTGGGCAAAGGCATTCTGAAGGGTTTAGGGTCAGTACCCTTCAGTCTTCAGGGCCCAACTTCAAGTAAGTGTTTCAACAAACTCCCCTAGGCACTAGGCTATGGTCCTGCCCTCACCTGGATTCTCACAGTGAGGCCCCAGCAGACCCCCAAACTTGACCCAAGGGCCTTGTTCCAAAGCCCACGGCTCCTCCCCAAGAAGGAGAAAAAAGGGGCGTGGCCTTTGGGGACCTGGGTAGGCCCAGGACTCCCTGCCTGGGTATGTCAGGATTTGCCCCTCCTCCTTCCGGTCCCTCCTCCACTCCAGGGACTGCCAACTCCTTCCACACGCCCCTTCTGGGGCTCCCTTGCCACCCCACGCCACACCCCAGCCTCAAGACCCCTCTCTTTGGGGTCTTGAGGCCGGCCCAATATACCCACTATACCCAGCCCAGCTGCCCCAACTCCTCTGGGTCCCCTAACCCCACTCCACCCCCACCCCAAGGAAACCAAGCCCAGCTTGCCTCGTTCTCTCCACGCACCCACCCGAGCACCCCCCTGGCGCTGCGCCATTCCCCACATTCATTCTCTTCCTGTTCTCATGAGCACAATCCCTGTCCCTCTTTCTGAAATACTTCCCCTATTGCCCTCACTTTCTCACAGAGCGGCAAACAAAGACTCACATACCCAGAAATAGCCTCTCACAGAGCTGAAAGGCACAGGCCATGTCCTGCCACACACGCAGGCGCGCGCGCACGGAGGCTGTCGTGGAGGGAGGCACACATACAGGGCGTCTGTCTGCACGCACATAAGCTGCCACGCCACAAAAGGGCGCGGACACACACGGCGTGTGAGACAAGGGCACACACAGCAGTGGACGCAGGGCCACGCCGCCGCCCGGGCACACCCACCGCCGCCGGCCCCGGGCAGGCGCGAGGCCTCGCGGGCCGGGCTCCCCCGGTTCCTGCCAGCGAATGTTTCCCTGCTCGGCCTGCCAGGTCTCTGGGGAAAGGGCCTCAGAAATGCAGCAGGAGCCGCTGGGGGAAAAGTTGGAACTGACTGTTCCCTGCCTGGCGCGGCCGGCGAATTCCCTGACGGAGAAACTATTTGTGGCGAGAGCCGGTGGCCGGCGACCCCCCGCCGCCTCCCCTGGCGTCCCCTCCCCGCGCCGCCTCCCGCGGGCCTCGGCGGCTTCGGGCTGCAGCACTGCTGCCCAGCGCCCGCGGCCGGGCTGGTCGGCGCGCCTCGCCGCTTATCTGCGCTGTTTGGACAGCGGGCTTGGAAAGGCAGGCGGCCCCGTCCCCGCCGAGTCAACAGGCAGACCCCGGGCCGCCGGACTATTTCTGTCTTATCAGTGCAGGAATGCGGCAGCCGCGGCGGCGGCGGCGGCGGCGGGCGGGCGGCGGCGGCGTGGGCCGTGGGCCGTCAGGGCAGCCCTGAAGGGGCCCCCTCCCCACTCCGCTCGAGTAGAAGTGTGAGAGAGCCCAGCAGGACTCAGAGGGGAGAGTTGGAGGAAAAAAAAAGGCAGAAAAGGGAAAGAAAGAGGAAGAGAGAGAGAGAGTGAGAGGAGCCGCTGAGCCCACCCCGATGGCCGCGGACGAAGTTGCCGGAGGGGCGCGCAAAGCCACGAAAAGCAAACTTTTTGAGTTTCTGGTCCATGGGGTGGTGAGTGGGGGAAAGTTAGCGGGGGAGGGCAAGCGAGCTGGCTCGGGCTGAATGGAGGGCTGATCGGGAGGGGCCGGGAGGGCGCTCCCGCTCTCCCACCCCTCTAGTGGGGGGCGTCATGGCCCACGGCCCGGCCGCGGGACTGTGCTGGCGCCCTGGCACCCGAACACGTCGCCAGGCGGCCGGCCGGGTCTGACGCGAGGCGGGGAAGGGAGGCGTTTGCATGGCTCTTGTCAGGGGCGGGGGTGGGACTTGGGGACTCTACCCCCCAAGTAGGGGGTCCTCGCTGTAGCCGACAGGTTGACTTTCGTTCTTTTCCTTGTGGGCCCAGGTGTTGCCCCTGCCCTGGGGGTGGGGGTGGGGGATGGGGACATGGCAGAGGCTGGGCTGGGCTGTCTGTTCATCCGTTGGGACAGTGTCACTGCTTGTGTCTCCGGAGCAAGGAGCAGGTGACCCTGGAGGCACTGTAGCGGGAAGCTCGCAGGCTGAGCCACCTCTGCATCCCAGCGGGAGGGCTCTGGAGCTTCTGCCTTAGGGTGGGGGAGAGGACCGCTCTAGGGACTTAGCCCAAGTTAGGGGCTCTGAGGGTCTCCTTGGCGGACTCAGCCACCAGAAGCTGATGTCCTTAACTCCTCGAACATGTGAAGGAAGGGGCTGGAGTTGGGGACATGAGGCCTAGAGACCGAAGGGACAGGGGAGCACTGTCCTGCCACAGGCAGGCTGTGAAGGCACGTGGGAGCCCGGGAGGCTGGAGCTGAGTCAGTAGGGCCCGGCTGGGAGGGGTATGGAGGGGTGGGGAATGGGAGAAGCAGGGGCTGCGACTCTTGGGATGGGTGAGGGAGTGGAGGCCCTGTGTAGAGGAAGCTGTCGGGTTTACTATGGCCAAATTTGGTTGTGACCCCAAGGAAGACACCCTCTCAGTAAGGCCAGAGTCCCTAGGATTTTGGCCTTTCATGGGGATGGGGCTGGTGGCGGGCACAGCTCTCTGGGGGCTCTGAAAGCCTCCCTCTCAGGGCCTCTTCAGCAGATGGGCCAGTATCCCTGGCCTTGATAACTGGGGAGAGCAGCTGACAGGAAGAGGGGGACTCCCTGGAGTGGCCTGTCCTCCAGCCCCAGGGACCCCTGGGGGTAACTTCCCAAGGTGTCCATGTCAGCTAGCTGAGTTACCAGTCCTAACCTGGCTGCTGGTGGGAGCCCCTTTAAAAAGGCCCATCTAGTGGGGAGAGGCTGTACACGTGGACTGTTTTTTTAATCTGGTCAACTTACAGCTTCAGTTCTTGAGTGGCTGTGAGCCCCAGTGCCCCACCTAGCTGGTGGCCAGGCCTGGGCTCCATTCTGGGCTGCTACCCTGGAGGCCTGAGTGACAGGGTCAGGTGGGGTGAGGGAAGCAGACACATGGACAGGCAGGTTTCACTGCAGGAGAGATAGGCAGAGACAGCTGCTGACCGAGGGTGGGAGGACATTAGGGTTAGACACAGAGCCTGGAGGACCAGGAGGGAGAGGTAGCAGTTGGAAGGAAAACAGCAAGCCCAAGGGGGCCCCTCCTCATGCCTGGGGGTGAGGTGGGTGGTGTGTCCATGTTAACAGTGCCAGGGTCTGCATCCCCTGCCCTCTGATCTTCTTCCTGCTTTCGTGGTCCCAGTCCCCATCCCACCCCGCTCTTTCTGTTTCACAGCCCCTGAAACTCTCTCTGGCCCTCCCCATCTCCCTTCTGGAGTCTGGACAAGTGGGGTTTGGAACACTTCGCTCGATGCATTTGCATCTCATTTACACCCCATCTGACCACCCAGGGGTAGTGGCAAGGGAGGAGGAGCCGCCTCCTCTCAGTCTCCACAGCCCCCATGAACCCTGACTGCTGACCTCACTGGGGTGGGGATGGGAAGAGGAGGAGGTGGCTGCTGACCTGGGCAGACAGGAAGGGAAATGTGAGTGCAAGTGTCACTGCCCTGACCCACCCCAGGCCCCCCTGGGCAGCCCACCTCTAACGCAGTTCCCCTCCTCCCAATCAGAGAATCCTGGCTGTGTCTGGGGCGCCCCAGCAGGCTGCCCTTGCCTGCCCTGCCTCCAGCCCTCACCCTGGGAGCAAATTATGGGGGCAGCTTGGTCAGCGAAGACCCTGGATGTGGGGACTTGGAGTCAGCCGAGGGGAGTGGGGTTTGGGACCCAAGGGTCAAAAGCAGGGACACAGGGAGCAGAGTGGCTGAGATGAGCTAGTGAGTACCAGGCAGAACCGCCCAAGAAGTGGAGCCTGAGAAGGAGGAGCAGGAGGAGGAGCAGAAGTCGGAGCAGGGAGCCGGGTACCGGACCTCAACCAAGCCGCAGAGAGCAAAGCCCTGGGCCCCCAGGAGGCAGCCCTTCAGGGGCTGCCTGGGCCAGGATGAGCTGTGTGACCTTGGCGAGGTCATTTTTCTCCTTGAGCCACAGTGGCCCCATCCGTCAAGTGGGGATGAAAGGACCTGCTCAGGCTGTCTTGCAGAGGAGCATGTGGATGTGAACATCTTTGAAAGGTTGAAAGGCGCCATTAATATTCATTTTTGCGGTACCTTCCGCAGCCCCGAGGCTCGCAATGCCCTGTGCGGTGCCTGGCTTCAGTTAGCTTCCTGCAGCCAGACGCCAAGCCCCTCCGCCAGAGCCGCGCAGATTCCGGCGCCCCTGCCCCTCCTACCCATCGCTCCCACCCATCGCTCAACGCTCAGGGTCACCAGCCGAGGGTCTGGTGGGGGAGGGGAGACGCCGGCTCACCGCGCCTGGAGCGGGGGGCCCTGGTCTGACCCACGGGCGCCCGTTTCTGCTTCACCCCCGCCCACCCCCAGCGCCCCGGGATGCCGTCTGGAGCCCGGATGCCCCACCAGGGGGCGCCCATGGGCCCCCCGGGCTCCCCGTACATGGGCAGCCCCGCCGTGCGACCCGGCCTGGCCCCCGCGGGCATGGAGCCCGCCCGCAAGCGAGCAGCGCCCCCGCCCGGGCAGAGCCAGGCACAGAGCCAGGGCCAGCCGGTGCCCACCGCCCCCGCGCGGAGCCGCAGGTGAGTGGGAGGCCCGGCGAGGAGGGGGCGTGCAGGGGCGGGCCCTGGGGGACCCGCAGGGACCAGGTAAGCGAGTAGCGGGGATTGGAAGGGGCGAGGAAGAATGATTAGCAGGGAGCGAGGCTTCCCGGGTCGAATGCCCTCTGGGGAGGTAGGCTTAGGGGGCACCGGCCTGATTCTTTTGTGTGCCCACGGTAGAGACAGGCTGCGGCGTCGGCAGCCGGTACCGCTTCCCTGCACGCTCCCCTCACCCTTCTCCTTGTCACCTGCTCAGTCCTTCTCTCCACCCATCAGGTTCTGGGTGATGCTTCAGTCTTTGGGGTGGGGGCGGGGCTTCCAGTGGGACTGAGGGCAGAGGTGTAGGACTGTGTTCCCCAAAGTGTGGTTCTCCGCTGAGCCTTCCTGCCGGCCCCCGGGCTGTTTCAAAGCCACTCCAGATTTTCTCAATGGGACTCTCTGACCATGGGGGTGGAGCTTGGGGATTTGCCCTGTGGGTAGGTGGTCTCTACCCAGTCCTGCTCTTAATTCTTAGGCACTCTGGCCCAGGTCTGCTCTCAAGCCACCAGGGCCAGCCCATTTCCTTGCTTTCCTCCAGCAGCTGGTGGCACCCTCAAAGCCCCTGCTGGCTCCTGGCAACAGCAGTGCCCCTCCGGGTTTCAGTATTTAGCCAAATACACATGCTTTTTTTGCACAACAGATGGGTTTCTATAAAAGGTGTAATATCAATTTTACCTCATTATTATTTTTTACACATCGGGGAAAAAATCACCACTTATAGGAATCCCATGATGAATTCTTTAGTAAAGTGCATCGTCATTTTGTACAGCAAATGGTAATTCCCTGATTTATCTTGTATAAATGGAGAGTTACACATAGATAATCTGTTTAAAACAAACCAGACCTTTAATGAAATCCGCTTGTTAGCCTTAGATTTCTGCATAGGGAGGGGGCAGTGCTTGAGAACACCACACGGGGGCAGTATGGAGCTATTCTCTGGGCTGCGTTTTCATCTCTTGACCCGCCAAGGTTTTTCTGGGGGTTTTTGGGTTAGTTAGAAGCAGCTAGTGGGTCAGAAAGAGCCCACATCCAGCTGCTACTACCCCGGGCCTAGTCAATTTGGCCTCAGCCTGAAGTCACACCCATGCACATTCTGGGCGCCTATGGCTGCAGCATGTCCCTCACCCTGTTGCCAGGTAGTCCCAGGGCATGAGTACCCCCAGCCCATCAGCGTTCTCTTCCAAGCCCAGGGTGGCTGGAAGGGGTGCAAGTCCCGCCAGCTTCACACCGTCACCTCCCGCTCCATGGATAGGAAGGAGTTCGTCTCTCTCCCTCCCTCTGAGCTTAGGCCCCTTTGGACAGGGCACCCCCTGCTTTCCAGAAAAGGTCTTCAGAACCTGGCTTCCCTCTCCTTTGTCCTCCCTCATCCCCACCTTTCCTCAAACACTTCTGCAGCTCGCATCTTTTGGCAGCACCGCCCCCACCAGCCAGTCCCTCCTGTCTAAATTTCTCTGTCCCTGAGGATGTGGCAGGGTAGAAGGGGGCTCCCAGGCCAGAGAATGGATGGGTCACTCCTGTGTCCTGAGAGAGGACAGAGCACCGGTTCCACACACCACCGTCACAGCCCTTGGGCGGGCAGACAAGTGGGCTGTGGGAACCCCAGCCAGGCGGGCGGAGATGTCGGGATAATCTAGCAGGTGGCCTCGTTACGCCCAGATCTGTCGCCATGGTAACCTGGTTTTTTCTTTAAAAAATGTACAGTGCCAAGAGGAGGAAGATGGCTGACAAAATCCTCCCTCAAAGGGTGAGTGCCTTTCACAGCAGCCCCCAGCCCACCCCCCACCCTTTGCTGCTCCGCCCTCCCCTCCCCCCTCAGAAGCAGAGCTTCAGCATCACAGTCACTTTCACTTTTTGTTTAAAAAAGCTCATTAATAAGTGAGGCTCCGCAGGCCAGAGGGAGGGGGTGAGGTGGAGGGAAGCAGCAGAGCCACTGGGGCCAGAACACAGGGGCCTGTCAGGGGGTTTGATCCAAGTGGTACTATAGAGCTGTGGGACCAGGAGGGGGCAAGAGCTAGGGGATCAGAAGCTGCCAGGCAGAATGAAGGGGATAGAAGGTGGCCAGAGATCCTGAGCATCCTAAAGAGACCCAGGTCCAGCTGGGTATGGGGACAGCACAGTTGGGACAGGTGTGGGGGCTGAGCAAGGTGCCAGCAGAGAAGAAAGCACCGCTGTCCAACTGTCTCAGGGATTGAGCCCCTACTAGGCACTTTGCAGGGGCCCAGGGGAAGCCCAGCAGGCATATGATATGGACAATGACAAGATGAGGAGACTAAAGGCTAGTGCTTGCTGAGCTCCACCGTTGCTACCTCCTCCCTGATGATGAAACACAAGGCACTTCCTAAAGGGAGAAGCAATTGTTATCCCTACACAGCAAGGCCCCTACTGCTGGATAATGGCATCCTGGGGAGAGGTCCTGTTCCCACTGTCAAAGCTACATGCCCAAAAGTAGGATGGCTCCCCTGACATCTTTTGTACCCTAGGATTGCACAACATGCATACATTCCATGGTACAACCCTGGACTTGAGCCTCTGACTCCTGCCCTGCTCCTCCTTCTCCAGATTCGGGAGCTGGTCCCCGAGTCCCAGGCTTACATGGACCTCTTGGCATTTGAGAGGAAACTGGATCAAACCATCATGCGGAAGCGGGTGGACATCCAGGAGGCTCTGAAGAGGCCCATGAAGGTGCCTTAGTTCGGGGGTAGGAAGGGGACTCTAGAGTTGTGTGACCAGGATGGGGAAGCAGGGTGGTCGGGGTGGGAGCACACAGCATTCGCCCGGTTCTGCACTCTATTTCTACAGCAAAAGCGGAAGCTGCGACTCTATATCTCCAACACTTTTAACCCTGCGAAGCCTGATGCTGAGGATTCCGACGGCAGCATTGCCTCCTGGGAGCTACGGGTGGAGGGGAAGCTCCTGGATGATGTACGTCCCGGCCCAGGTCTCTCCAGGTGTCCTGGGGTGGGCATGGGCTGCACTGAGAACAGAACAAGGTGTCTGCACTAAGGGCTAGGGAGTCAGCCCAGGCTGGGTGGAGGGGCAGGCCTAGAGACATTCCAAGTGCAGAGGATTTCATCTAAGCCCACTGCCCTGTCGGCTGCCAACTTGGCCTCCTTCTGCTCCTCCCACCTCGTCCCTGTTCTGCCCCCATGGTCCCTGTTGCTCTCCCACAGCCCAGCAAACAGAAGCGGAAGTTCTCTTCTTTCTTCAAGAGTTTGGTCATCGAGCTGGACAAAGATCTTTATGGCCCTGACAACCACCTCGTTGAGGTAAGACCAAGAGCCCCTCCGCCCTTGAATTGCCACCCTCCCACAGGCCAGAATCCCTGAAGAACCAGCACAGATTTGGGTCAGGGACCACCCTAGAGTCCTGGGCCCCACCACTCCAGATGGGCCTTTGGGAGACACAGCTCTTCTCTCCTGGACAGTGGCATCGGACACCCACGACCCAGGAGACGGACGGCTTCCAGGTGAAACGGCCTGGGGACCTGAGTGTGCGCTGCACGCTGCTCCTCATGCTGGACTACCAGGTCTGCACCTGCCATGCTGCCCCGTACACGCCACACAAGGCCCTCAGGGCAGGGCTAGGTCCCAAAGTGGTGCATCTTGAGAGACCTCCTTCCCCTCCCAAACCTATCCTTCCCCAGGGGCATGTTTCCTCAATCAACACATCCCCCTAGTCCTGAATGGCCTGGCCCTGGGCTCCTTCCTTTCTCTCCCTTTGGTCTAACTTTCACAGTCCCCTTTTCCCAGCCTCCCCAGTTCAAACTGGATCCCCGCCTAGCCCGGCTGCTGGGGCTGCACACACAGAGCCGCTCAGCCATTGTCCAGGCCCTGTGGCAGTATGTGAAGACCAACAGGCTGCAGGACTCCCATGACAAGGAATACATCAATGGGGACAAGTATTTCCAGCAGGTAACCTCTCTCCTGAACCCTGGGATCTGGGGAGCAGGCGGAGTTCTCCAGCAGGGGAAGTACCTCTACCAAGGTAACTACCACCCCTCCCTTCTAGATTCCTGAGTAGCAGAAGCAGTACACAGTCATGGTCTTGGAGCCAAGAGACCGACCAGGATTCTAGTTCAGGCCCTACTGTGGATTAGCTCTGTGCTGCAGCCAATCCATGTTAGCCCCCCCAAGTTAGGAAGACCTGGAAACCCTACAAAGCCAACCGCTTTCTGGAATGTAATATTCTTGGCACTTGGAGTTAGGATCCCCAGGTTCTAGTCCTGAGTCTGGACTCTGGGTAAGTGACTCAGCGATTCTGAACCTTGTTTCCTTATCTTTGAAGTGGAGTGACAATACCTGTCCTATCTACTCTCCTGGGCAGTTAGGAAAATCAAATTGCTGCAAAAGTGATTGAGCAAAATTCCACCAAAACAGAGAATATTCTTATTAATGCATTTAAAAATAAATACAGCAGATAAACCTGAGGAGTAAAAATAGCAGTTGATATTTATTGGGCACTTACCATGTGCCAGGCACTGTCCCAAGCACTTTATGTGTATTAGTTCACTGACTTCTCACGGCAGCCCTGGGAGATAGGTATTCTTTTCATCCCCACTCTAGAGATGAAGACACTGAGCCCTGAGGTGTTAACTTGCTCCAGGTTGCATAGTAAGTGGCAGAGGCAGGACTGATACATAAGCAGGCTGACCCAGGGCCCGCACTCTCAACCCCTGCCCCACACTGACCCACCCCCTATCTTGTCAGCCATACCGGTGGCTCCACCACCAGACCAGCCCACCCCAATCCCATCCCCATGCGCACTGAGGAATCAGACTTCCTCTCAGCTTCTTGTGGCCTTTCTAGAACAAAAGGATCTACAACTGCATGATGATCTCTTCAAGAAGAGTGATCTCTCTCTCCCCAATTGTCCTGCTTCAGATTTTTGATTGTCCCCGGCTGAAGTTTTCTGAGATTCCCCAGCGCCTCACAGCCCTGCTATTGCCCCCTGACCCAATTGTCATCAACCATGTCATCAGGTGAGGTGGCCCCAGCTTGCTTCTCAGACCAGGGAATGATCTCGTTCCTGCCTTCCCTGCCCCTCCCTCTCCTCCCACTCCCATCTCTTCTCCCTCCCTGTTGGATCTGCCCCAGCCCCGGGGCCCTGGGGCCGTATGGGGGCATCGTGGACACGAAGGGCTGGACTTCCCTGGCAGCGTGGACCCTTCAGACCAGAAGAAGACGGCGTGCTATGACATTGACGTGGAGGTGGAGGAGCCATTAAAGGGGCAGATGAGCAGCTTCCTCCTATCCACGGCCAACCAGCAGGAGATCAGTGCTCTGGACAGTAAGGTGGGGCCCAAGCCCAGAGCTGGAGTGGGACATTAACCCAGAGATGATAGAGGAGACTTTTCTGAGACCAGGGTGTGGTTGCAGATGAGCAGTCTGGGTTAAATTAAAAAAAAAAAAAAAAAAGAGACCAGACTCTGGGCCAATGGGACACACATGGCCCGTCCATGCTGCTTGGAGCTGAACCTCATTCCAAGTTTAGTTCTGCCCATCCCCTCCTCCCCTGGGACTTCAGAGAAATCAGGGGCTCTGAGGGGTTGTCCTTCACAGAAGAAACCCCCTCTCCCTCCCCTTCCCACCCGCTTCCTTTCCCCTCGTCTCCCACATCACCAAAGCCAGGTGGAAAGCATCTATCTTTCTACCTGCAGATCCATGAGACGATTGAGTCCATAAACCAGCTCAAGATCCAGAGGGACTTCATGCTAAGCTTCTCCAGAGACCCCAAAGGCTATGTCCAAGACCTGCTCCGCTCCCAGAGCCGGGACCTCAAGGTGAAGAGGGAGACTCAGGGAGTACTGGAGTGGAAGACAAGCACAGCGGGAAAGAGAGTAAACGTTGTACTCCAGGGGCAGGTGAGGGGATTCAGGGCTCAGGGCTCACCCCACGCTCCCTCCCAGGTGATGACAGATGTAGCCGGCAACCCTGAAGAGGAGCGCCGGGCTGAGTTCTACCACCAGCCCTGGTCCCAGGAGGCCGTCAGTCGCTACTTCTACTGCAAGGTATGCAGGGACCCTTGCCCTGAGGCTTCCCCATCCTCAACTCCAAGAGAAACCTCCCTGTTCAGCTTGTGGGCAGCCCTCGCAGCTCCCCACAGTAAAGCTTCACCACGCTGCCTCACCATGCAATGGCCCTCCCTGCTCCCAGATGCTCTTTCAGGGCAGGCGGTGTCAGTAGGTGGGATTGTCCTGATCACTCACCAGAACACTGACACCTGCTCCTGTTCTCACTTCCTCTAAAGATCCAGCAGCGCAGGCAGGAGCTGGAGCAGTCGCTGGTTGTGCGCAACACCTAGGAGCCCAAAAATAAGCAGCACGACGGAACTTTCAGCCGTGTCCCGGGCCCCAGCATTTTGCCCCGGGCTCCAGCATCACTCCTCTGCCACCTTGGGGTGTGGGGCTGGATTAAAAGTCATTCATCTGACAGCAGCCGTGTGGTCATTGGAAACTGGGGAGGGGAGGGGGAGAGAAGGGGAAGGGAAGAAGGTGGGGAGGCAGTGGGTCCCTCGGGACGACTCCCCATTCCCTTCCCTTGGATTCTTCTCCTTACTCAATTTTCCCTAGACCTAAAAACAGTTTGGCAGAAGACATGTTTAATAACATTTTCATATTTAAAAAATACAGCAACAATTCTCTATCTGTCCACCATCTTGCCTTGCCCTTCCTGGGGCTGAGGCAGACAAAGGAAAGGTAATGAGGTTAGGGCCCCCAGGCGGGCTAAGTGCTATTGGCCTGCTCCTGCTCAAAGAGAGCCATAGCCAGCTGGGCACGGCCCCCTAGCCCCTCCAGGTTGCTGAGGCGGCAGCGGTGGTAGAGTTCTTCACTGAGCCGTGGGCTGCAGTCTCGCAGGGAGAACTTCTGCACCAGCCCTGGCTCTACGGCCCGAAAGAGGTGGAGCCCTGAGAACCGGAGGAAAACATCCATCACCTCCAGCCCCTCCAGGGCTTCCTCCTCTTCCTGGCCTGCCAGTTCACCTGCCAGCCGGGCTCGGGCCGCCAGGTAGTCAGCGTTGTAGAAGCAGCCCTCCGCAGAAGCCTGCCGGTCAAATCTCCCCCCTATAGGAGCCCCCCGGGAGGGGTCAGCACCAGGAGGGGAGGGGGGGTCAGGGCCAGCCCCCGGGGGCCCTGGGGGTGATCTCTGTGGTGACAGGGCAGGATTGAACTCCTGGAAATGGACTGGAAAGAAGGCCTGCCAGCCAGAGATGGCATTCATGCGACAGCGGTTGAGGACTTCGGGCCCAGGCCTTGTCCACACGGTGGTAAGGAAGAAGAGAGTGTCCACAGGGTGCTTCTTCGAGACCACGTCCATGAGTCGCACCTGGGAAGGGGCCTCTGCTCGCACAGCGAGCCAGGCCAGCCTCGTCCCAGGGTACCGTCGCTCTAACTCCGCTGCTGCAGCCTTCACCCCAAGAAATGGGTCTGGAGCTCCACGGCCACCTTCTCGTGGCCCGTAGACCAGCAACAGGGTGAGCAATGCATGTTCTCGTGGCTCCAGGACATTGGCTGCAAAGGCCTCGAGGAAAGCCGGGGCTGCAGCAGCTTCAGCCACCAGGAGTGGCAGCACCAGCTGCACTCGGGTGGCCTCAGTGACATAGGGCATAGGTAGGATTTCCACCCGGCTCAGTGGCCGCAGCAGGCTGACCCTGCGAGCCAGGGCCCGCCGGTGCCCACGCTGTGTCACACATTCCAACAGCAGGTCCAGGGTGTACTCCATGCCCCGTGCTGGGTCGAAGCGCCGATAGCCGTTGAGCAGTCGCTGCTTCTGGAAGCGCAGGCGGGGCTGATAGCGCCGATTGAGCTGCTCCAGGGCAGTCTCCAACGCATCACCCACGTCCGCCCTGCTAGCCCCCTGTAGTGGGCACTTGGGAGCCCCATCTGCACAGGAGAAGGTGTGCTGCTCTGTGAAGTAGTCCCAGCCCAGCACCTCAAAGCGAGAGTGTGGTGTGAAAGGAGCAGGGAGCCCAACGGGCCAGCTCAGCCCTGCCTCCCCTTCGGGGGTCAGCACGGTCAGGTTCCGGATCTGAGCCTGGGTTGGAGGGAATGCACCTCACATTAGTGCCAGCTCCAGGATCCTACCCAGCTCCAGCTGCCTGGGCTCTGAGATTCAAACAGCTGAGCTCTGTCCTAACTCCATCAACACTTAGTGAGGGGTCCCTTGCTAATCACTGAATCCCTTGTACGTTATTCTTCACCTCTAAAATGCAGATGGAATAGGAATCATACTCACCTTACACAAATGCCATGAGAAGGAGGTGGAAAATGTGCTTTTTGCACAGGTAAAAGTATCTTGAAATAGAAGCTCAACAGCCTTTCTCTCCTACACCCAAAGGACTCACATCCTCTTCATAATCACACCTTTGTTTTCATCTACACTCCACCTCTGCCAAGCCTGACGTTCAACTTGAGAATTCTCCCTTCTACCCTTGGGCTTTCTTGGGACAGTTCTAGAAGTAAAGAAACTTCAGAGTTTTTGCCTCCTCAGTGGACAGGCACTATTGAGGAGGAGCTAAAACTATTCTGTCTGAACACTGTGCGGAGCTTCCTGATCCTCAGAGTCTACTTGCAAACCCCTTTAGCTGCATTCAAGTTGTGCTGGGAGCTTACCTTATGATTGCTTTGGACCCCCAAAGACCTTTGTCCCTGTAGTTGCTTTAAATTTAAGTATGGTCGGCCTCTTCCTGCCCTGCCATTATACAGGGCCTAGCCCAGCCCCACTGCCAGCTGCTCGTTCATTGCACGCCTGGACATCTCAGGCTCTCTCTGACCCTCTGACTGCGGTCCTCTGCCCACCTGCTCCTCTTCAGCTCACCTGCAGTTGTTCTATTTCACTGTAAGCCCGCTCCAACTCCAGAGCGCTGAAGCGTTTGTGGAGCCGGTACATGAGGGTACCTTCGGAGACAGGGTGCACGGCGAAGGCACTCAGGAAAGCCGAGCTCCCTTCCTTCTCAGGGTCCCTATTTTTGGCCAGTTCAAATGAGCGATACTGCTGCCCCTAGAGGGACAATCAGACCAATCAATGACACACACAAGAGCTGCCAGTCCCAAACCGCCCTTAACCATACTCAGTGTTCACATCTGTTAGCACTGCTGCGTTAGAACAGAGGACAGAAGAGGCACCCTTTCCAGCACCTCGCTTAACCCCAGTTCTTTCACTGCCCACATTTTGGAAAGTAGAAAGCAAGTAGGCAACTAAGGACACTCTCGGCTACTCTCAGTGCATTGCTTACAGGCTAGCCCTGCTCTGCAAGGAGCCATCACAGAAATAACATATTAAAAATAATAATAATGATACTTTCTTCCCCCAAAGATTCCCATTGTTCTTCAAGGGAATGAATGACACAAGCCAGAAAATCCTCCCAATACTTTGGTTTGAGAGGATGAGCCACCTCTGGGTTCTTCCACTCTTCTCCAGCACAAGAAACAGGGCAGCTCTCTGGGCTGGAAAAGTGATCACCTCACTTCTCTGGAGACTAGCCATCTCTAAGACATGCCCACACTGCCATAACTGAAGTGTGGATGTCGGGGGAGGTGTGGAGGGCAGGGGGGCAGGGGAGAAGGACTGCTGAGTAGGAGCACCCTTTGGTCTTGCTTAGGGGTTCCTAACAAGATACTACTTTTGATAGCCCCAGGTTCTCAGATTGCCAAAGGTGAGCAACGGAGGGCCCACAGAGCGGCCAGTGGCCAGGAAGGGGGAACAATGGCCTCTAAGGTGCTGCTGGGAGGAAGGCCAATCACTCATCCCCCACTAGCTTATCAGGGACTGGGACTGACTTGAAAGAGCTGTCACCTGGTGCTGTGAGACACAGCCGACGCCCAGAGAGTCAATGAGGCAGCGTCCAAGCCACTCGTCAGGACGGGCACTGAGAATGTCTCCTCGGCAGCCATCCAGATGTGGCCGCAGACGAAGCAGGAGACTCCGTGACAACAGGTAGCCAAAGCCCCCATGACAGTACCGGGCCTGCTCGCCTGCGCCAATGAACTCCTCTGCCCGGCCTAAGTACAGGTCTTGGTTGATGCTGAGGTGGCCAGCAAGGGCTGCCAGGCGGGGGGCCTGCACATATGTGTCATCCTGCATGATGAAGAACCAGTCGTAGTCGGCCCCAAAGTGTGTGTGAAGGTGGCGCAGGGTCTCTGACATGAGCCAGGCGGGCCGCTCATCCCCATGAGACACCACCTGCATCCCTGCTGGAGCCCGGGCCCCCCGCTGCCCAGTGAAGTAGAGTAACCGAGGGAAGTGATGGGCCACCGTACGGTTCACAGCCACGGCCAAAGTGGACAGTGTAGCTCGGGAGGTCAGGACAGCCACCAGCAACCGCTCACGGGAGCCCAGCTCTGTCTGGATGTACCGAGTCCTGTGGAAAGACCAGTGTGCCAGAGGTCAACTCCCTAATCTTTAGGAACCCAGCTTGTTCAGAATATACATCCCCCTCTAGGAGTGAGTTGGGGCTGAGAAGGGAGAAACTTCCTTCCTTGTCAATATTAATTAGGTACTGAACTGAGTATCCACTAAGTAGCTGACACGAATTGATTTGGGAGGGGAGGGAGTCTACCAAGGATAGATTAGGTAGGTTAGATGCAATTCCTCCTCTGTTCAAGAACATCGAACCCTGGCTGGGCACGGTAGCTCACGCCTGTAATCCCAGCACTTTGGGAGGCCGAGGCAGGTGGATCACCTGAGGTCAGGAGTTCAAGACCAGCCTGACCAACATGAAGAAACCTCATGTCTACTAAAAATACAAAATTAGCTGGGCGTGGTGGTGTGCACCTGTAATACCAGCTACTCGCAAGGCTGAGGCAGGAAAATCACTTGAACCTGGGAGGCAGAGATTGCAGTGAGCCAATATCGCACCATTGCACTCCAGCCTGGGCGACGAGAGCAAGACTCCGTCTCAAAACAAAACAAAAACAAACAAAAAACATCGAACCCTAATTTAACACCAATGAATGTGAGACTTTCTAAGACCTGAGAAGGAGGGAAAAAACAGAAAGAAACCATGATGGAAAATAAGCCAGAATTGCTCCAAGTCGCCCGACGCCGATTGCCAATGGAAAGGCAGAGGCAAGGATTTACACCAGCCCAAAACAGGGCCAGTGTCTGGGGACTATGCACACATGTTGCTCTCACCTGAGCACCTTCTTGTAGGGCTTGTTGGGGTCCCTGTAGTAGGGGACAATCCGGGGTTTGAAGTCTTCATCACTTTGGTCTAGCCGAGCTCTGGAATCTGGATTCTGTGGCCCTCCTCGCTCCCCTACAGCCTCGACACAGGGATCTTCTCCCTCCCCCTGGATCCAGGAAACCCGCAGGAGGCTCAGGCTGCACCCCAGAGACAGCCCTAAGATGAGGGGAAGCGCTGGCCGCAGCAGAGCCAACAGGGAGCTCAGTCGCATGGTGGTAGGCCCTGCCAGGTGGGTGCCCCAGGGGCACAGCCTCAAGGATCAATGGATTGATGGGCACCAGGCCAGTAGTAGGCTTTCAGTTTTAACCAGAGAACCTGGGGTCAATGAGGCCAAAGACAGAGCGAGGCCCGCTGGCTTCCAGGACCAGCATCCCCAAGAAGATTGTCCTGTCTTCACAACTCCTTCTGCCTGCTCTTCAACTGTGAAGGTGTCGGAACTAACCCCCAGCCAAAACGGTAATAAATGAAACAATCAATTTCACTCACACTGGGATTATGGTCTGTCTTCCACTAAAAAGAGGAGGAAGTAAAACTCAATACTGCCAAAGCTAACCCAAAAAGGAACACTACACACATCTGCAGACTGGGCCTAAGTCAACAGATGACAGCAAGTGATAAGAGGTAAGGGAAAAGCACACGATCCATCAAAACAACAGCCCCAACCAGAGGAGCCGGAGCCTGCCTCAGTGGGCCTTTCCGGAAGAATGCCTGCCTCTGGCATCGGTCCTCAGGCGGGCTACTGAAGGGGCTGCTGAGCCACTGCGGCAGGCCCGGTGGGCACAAGGGAAGGGGCCAGAGCCTCTTTCTACTCTGCTCCCCGTGTTTGAGAAGACGCAACGGCTACAGGAACCCCTCCTCCCACTCAGGAGCGGTCTGGAGCCACTCGCATGGCACACATAAGTTCTGCCCACCCGAATGAGGTAGATCGGTGACTCAGCACTGACAGCCTCTCAGGAGCGCCATGGCCGATGGAGCCATCTTGCAGGGCATTCTCCTCGGAACCCCAGCTGCTGAGGAGACAGCAGGCGGGGACTGGAACTCTGTGTGCGAGCGATTCGGTGCCTGGTTTTACCAGGGCCCCAGGGGCCAAATGAAGCAAACCAAAAGCAAAGAGAGAGCACAAGCAGCAACTAGAGACAATGCCAGGGTCCTGGGAACGCAAACAGAAGCGCGGCCAGCTTCCGACAGGACCCCTGCCGGGGGCCCACAGCCCCTGCGCTACCTCTCGGCGATCAGAGACCAAGTCTAGCCCTAGAACGAAGACCCGACGCGAGTCTTCGCCGTTCGTCTCAAAACAGAAATAAACTGGCCACGTCACCGGGCTGCTGAGAAGGGGGCTCGGGAGACCAGCTCGGGTCGTTCTGCGAGGCGGGGTCGGAGGTCGCGGCTGGGAGACTGGGGCACAGACCTCGTTCTCAGGCCAGTCGGCGGGAGCGGAGGCCGCGCCAGAGACAGCATCGAGGCCGCGAGCGCAGGACCAGGAGGGACGCCCAAGGCCCTCGGGGAGGAGGCCCGGGTTTCAGGGCCGGGGGCCGGCGGACACCGGATAAAGGACGGCCGGGGTCTCCCGGCGTCCCGGGAGGGGGCGGGGCGGAGGCGTGGGGACCAAGAGCGGCGTCCCGCACGCGCCTGGCAGGGAGCAGGGACGGGGAAGGGGGAACAGACCCCAGTGCCCGCTGAGGCGCCGGCTCCGCCGCTGCAGCCGCTGCCACCTCACAGCCCCTGTCCGCAGCTTCCTCTTCCGCTGCCTGTCAGTCACCCGTCTCTATGGTGACCGCATCCGGCCGCTCGCTCCGCCCGCGCGTTCTCTATGGTCGCTCCCACGGCCTCTCAGCACCGCGCACCTCCTCGGCTGGGATCCGGGCTGCCTGGCCCCAACCGGCCGCCCCCCGATAAGACGCGTTCGCCCCCACATACGCGAATCCAGGCAAATCCAGAGTGGACCAAAGCTGCCCCGTAACTTGGGCTGAACACCATCTGCCCTGGAAAAAGCATACCCCCACCCTCGAGAGCGCTTTTCTCCCAATTGGCTGTGGAATCCCATCAGCCTTTCAGTTGCCTAAGAAATGTTTGTTGTTTGCCAGGCACGTACGTTCATCTAAGGATGCTAAGTTCCGGGCATCTTCGTGAGTGCTGGGTAAACAAGCGGTGGACGAGATGGGCATGGTCCCTGCTCTCAGGGAACTGAAAGTTGAGGGAGACAGGTAATAAACACGCTTGACATAGCAAGAATAAAACAGGTAGAAATCCCAGTCTGATAAGTACCATTGCAGAAAAGCACAGAGTCCTGTGGAAAAACTAAACAAAGTATTAAATTAGACTGGGAATTTGGCAATGCTGAGATCCAAAGGTTCAGGAAAAGTTATCCAGACATGAAGTGGACAGTTTTCCAGGCAAAGAAAAGAGCACCAGAATGTCCTGAGAGAGGAAAGAGATTGGCTTGGAGAAGAACTGGGAAGGCCCAGGGCATCTTTGAGCCTGGTGAGGGGAGAACAGCCCAAGGTAAGGCTGGGGAACAGGGAACAGGTAAAGCATTCAGACCACCACAGTGGTTCCCCAACCAGAATGGCACCCTCCCTAAGGAGCAATTTGGAAATGTTCGGGGCAATTTTGTTGTCAAATGATTGGGGGAGAGGAGCCAAGGAGGCTCCATGTCTTGCACATTGCAAGATGGTATCACACAAGAAAACTGTCCTGATCCCACACAGCTTTCACATGTCCTACTGAATATTCATATAGGTTAAAAAAAAACTGGTTATAATCATCTGATGTGCCTGTGTCTTATATACAAAAAACAAAGTAATCTTGTAGGGGTGTAAAATGTGCTGAATTTTTAAGGAATGTAACCACCATGTTAACAGAAGGAAGATTATACTTTGTTGTGTTCAGGAATTTATTAGGAATTACTCACCATTTTGGAGAACTGGGTCACTGATAGCAGTGTTATTCATAGCGTTCAGTCTGCATTTGTACTGTCACATTCAAGGTGCTCCTATGCATAACTACTAGCATCTGACTAATTATGCTTTCTAGCATACTGAAAAGTATTATCTTATTATAAAGGATTTCCTTTTATTCTTTCTGCTTTGGTTCAGACACTATAATTTTTTTTGAAATTATGTATGTAGTTAGGCTATACTATCTATAAACTTCATTTCACAATAGTAAATGGGGAGTTATAAAAATGTTATTAAAATGGAACATTGGGGCTGGTAAAGTTAAGAACCACTCAAGAATATCTTGTATGTATATCTTATAGATACCATTCTAGGAGTATATAAGATAGAACTCACTGATATTGCCTACCAGCACCTGTTATCCCTGTTTTAGTCTCATCCTTAGACTGCAACTGAATCTGTTCTCATCAGCTGGCACATGATAGGTTGTAAATGACTTGTTGGAAGAGACTGGGAAACAGCAGATACACTTAGCTCAAGGTCAGAAGATTTCTAGACCAGCGCTGTCCAGTAGAAATCTAGTGCAAGCCACAAATGTGAGCCATATATGTTGTTTAAAATTTTTTAGTAACCACATTTTTTAGAGTTAAAAAAGGTAAAATTAATTTTAATATTTTATTGTATTATTAGATATATCCCAATCATTTCAACATGGAGTCAATATGAAAAATTATTGATGAGATACTTTACATTCTTTTTTTATATGGAATATTTGAAGTCTGATGTGTATTTTACACTTAACAGCAAATCTCAATTCAGACTAGCCACATTTCAAGTGCTCCATAGCCACATATGGCCGGAGGCTACCATACTGAACACTGCAGGTCCAGATCCTTTTCAGTTACTAAGTTCCTAGGTAATTCTCCAAGAGACATTTCCTTCCTTGGGTCTCCGTTTCTTCATAATTTAAACAGAGTCTAAGCCAAATATTCTTGTTTCCAGCACTGACCTTCTGTGATTTTTTTCAAATTTAGCCAGTCCCTTTCTCCTCTCTCTTTACTCACCTCCTTTTCTCCCCCATTTTCCCATTTCTCTTTCCCTGTTTCTTCTCCCCTCATCCCGAGTTCTTTTCTCTGGCTAAACCCAGGGCAGGGTGGGCAGGGGGAGGGATGGTGGCTCACACCTGTAATACCAGGATTTCAGAAGGTCGAGGCAGGAGGATCTCTTGAGCCCAGGAGTTTGAGACCAGCCTGGGCAACATAAGAAGACACCATCTCTATGTAAAATTTAAAAACTGTAGCCAGGTGCAGTGGCTCATGCCTGGAATTGTAATCCCAGCACTTTGGGAAGCCAAAGTGGGCAGATCGTTTGAACCCAGGAGTTCCAGACCAGCCTGGGCAACATGGCAAAACCTCATCTCTGAAAAAAAAAAACAAAAATTAGCCAGGCATGGTGGTGCTTGCCTGTAGTCCCAGCTACTTGGGAGGCCAACGTGGGAGGATCGCTTGAGCCCAGGAGGTCGAGGTTGCAGTGAGCCATGATCGTGCCACTGAACTCCAGCCTAGGCAACAGAGCTGCCCAGAGCTGCTTGTCACCGTAGTTTCCTGATCTGCAAAATGGTAATAATCCTCACCTCGGAGTTTGTTGGGGGTGGGGAGTTTAATGTGATGGCATAAATGAAAAAGCATAATAAATATTGTTATCTGTAACCACACATTTTTAAACGAGGCTGGGAAAGGAGAAGCATATTTCTCCCAGGAGGCACAGGCGCTTGAATCTGTTTCTTTGTTGTGTTTTGTTTTTTGAGACAGGGTCTTGCTCTGTTGCCCAGGTAGGAGCGCAGTGGTACGATCTCAGCTTGCTGCAGCCTTGACCTTCTGGGTAACTGGGACCGCAGCGATGCGCTACCACGCCCGGCTAATTTTTGTATTTTTTTTAATAGAGATAGGACTTCGCCATGTTGCCAAGGCTGGTCTTGAACTCCTGAGCTCAAAAGATCCACCTGCCTCCACCTCCCAAAGTGCTGGGAATACAGTCATGAGCCACCACACTCAGCCAAATGAGTGCTTTTTATGTGATCCACAATCATAAATAACTTTTTTTTTTTTTTGAGATGGAGTCTCGCTCTGTTGCCCAGGCTGGAGTGCAGTGGCGTGATCTCGGCTCACTCCAAGTTCCACTTCCCAGGTTCACGACATTCTCCTGCCTCAGCCTCCCGAGTAGCTGGGACTACAGGTGCCCGCCACCATGCCTGGCTAATTTTTTGTATTTTTAGTAGAGACGGGGTTTTACCGTGTTAGCCAGGATGGTCTCGATCTCCTGACCTCGTGATCCGCTGGCCTCGGCCTCCCAAAGTGCTGGGATTACAGGCGTGAGCCACCGTGCCCGGCCCATAAATAACTCTTTTGCTTCATACAGAAGGGTTTTACAGTCATTTAACTGTATTCTTTTTGTAACTATATTCCCATTTTACAGAGGAGAACATGTACTTTGCCCAAGGCCACACAATGAAGCATAGAACTGGGGTTATGCTCTTAATTATGCTATGCCAAGTGAGGTCTCCACCTAGGTACCCCAGCAACACACGAAAGTCACTTCGTTTAGGGCACTTAATTTCATGGTGTCAAGGTCTGTTTTTTTTGTTTTTTGTTTTTTTAGAGACAGGGTCTAGTTTTGTCACCCAGTCTGGAGTGCAGTGGTTTGATTATAGCTCACTGCAGCCTTGAACTCCTGGGCTGAAATGATCCTCCCACTACGGCCTTCCAAAGTGCTTGGATTACAGGTGTGAGCCACCACACCCGGCTTGTTTACTTTTCACATGTTCCTTCTTTATTATGAGCTCCCTGAGGTCAGGGAGTGACTTTGCACCATTGCAACTCCAGCACATATATCTGAGCCTGACAGATAGTAGGCACTTCGTTGGTGGAGGATATTCTAGGAAAATGTATGTTCAAAGGCATGCAGGTGTAAAATAGCACGCTTAATCTCCGAACTATTTAAGTAGGTAAGTTCTACTGAAGTATGAGTTTGAGAAGAAAAACTAATTCTCATTGTTTGAGTCACGGACTGTGGGCGAAAAGGTGCCACATTTGGAGAATATGCTCAAAGGGAGCAATAGCTTCCTTTGCTGCCCCAAACGTCACTGATGGTGAGGCTTCTGCTGCACAGGAGCCTGGAGAAGTAACAAAGATCACAAAGGGCCTGCCTTGTACTTGAGGCTAAACATTTGGAGTTTACAATGTAGGTAATGTGAAGTCCTTGAGAGATTGTATTTATTTTTAAACCATCCAGCCCAAAATGTCATGTGAGAGATTTTAAACAGTGAGACTCAAAGGGAAAGTAACGGGCCCGGTAGCATGGCTAACTAATAATAAAACAAATCTCAGCCAAGGGGCCTTTTTATCTCGGGGCCCTTTCCACCAAACTTGCATGGCTTCAGTGGAAACCTAACAATGCGGCAGCGGGGAGGCTAAGCGGCCGAGGTTCCAAAACAACGTCTGGCACCTTCTAAAAGTTTAACAATGAACCAGCCTCTAAAATTAAGGTTTAATGAAACCAAGGCGCTTTCTTTCGTGAAGGAATTCCGTTGGCAACATCTTTGCAGCGATGCCCCGCTTTCTGGAACCCCTCCCTGCCCAGCGCCCCCTTCATTTTAGTCCTCCCCTCACGCTCCCACCTCTCCTCTCCCATTGTTTCGATCTACTCCCGCTGAGGCAAGCTGGGAAGTGTAGTTGCACGCCCTGCTGCCTGAGTCGGTTAGGTAGCTCTAAAAACTCGTAACTCCACAACAGCTCAATGGATTTTCGAGAGGTGGGGTAAAGCCTGAAGGCTCAGCCGGTTTATCCAACGAGCAATCTGGGATTTGCAGTTTCCAGCGCCCGAAGTGCGCCCGCTAGCAGAGAGCTCTTGGACTCTAATCCCGCCCCCTCCCCGAGCCTCGCGCATCCTGATGGCGTCACGCGGCCCCGCGAGGTCTGTGGGATACATAGTAGTCCTCAAGGCGGGTCTCACTCTTGGCCGCTGCAACTTGAGGACTACACTTCCAAGGAGGCAGCGCGGCGCGCCGAGAACCACCCGAGGCCGTGATTGGCTGGTGAGCCGGCCGCACGCGGAGGATCCTAAGGAGCAGCTCTGTTGCGACATAGGCCGAGCAGCGAGGCCCAGTGAGTTAGGGGAAGGGGAGCTGTAGGGAGAGGGTCCCCGCCGGTGAGGGGGAAAGAGAATTAGAAGAGGAAGCAGGGACGGGGTTTGGATGGAGGGCTCTGCGAGGGGGAAGATAGGGCTAAGGGAGAGAAGCTGACGGGCGGGGTGGGGGAGGACCCGGGGGTGACGAGCGTGGAGACTCGGAGGGGACTCACGCGGGCGAGGACGAGTGCGTCCCGGCAAGAGGCTGGGCTCGACGGCCGGGTGATGTGGAGAGGGACGATCGAGAAGAGGCCCGAGACGGACGGGAGGAGGAAGCCCGGAAAGTGAGGCGGCTAGCTGAGTGCGGAGCGCCAAGTTGTAGGGAAACCGGAGACGGAGACCTCCGCTGAGGGGCAGAACCTGGTCCCCAGCCGGAGGCCCTGAAAGAAGGAGCGTTTCCAAAGTGAGGCAGTCCGTGGGGGACTGGTGCCTGTGGGAAGAGATGTTAAGATTAGAAGAGCCGCTGAGAATCGGCATTGGTTTGGGATACCCTGACCAAGTTGGAACAGACGAGGCGGGGGCAGGCCAGGGCATCAGAGGCTTGATGTTGATACGAAGATTCCTGAGAGGGATGGAGCAGGGCCCAGGCATTCTTACTAGTAAGTTTAGGGTTTGGGGGTATCTGTTTGCCTTCCTTCAGGCTCCCTGAAACAACAGTAACCTACCCCTGTGGGTCATCATCATGCCCTCCGACCTGGCCAAGAAGAAGGCAGCCAAAAAGAAGGAGGCTGCCAAAGCTCGACAGCGGCCCAGAAAAGGACATGAAGAAAATGGAGATGTTGTCACAGAACCACAGGTGGCAGAGAAGAATGAGGCCAATGGCAGAGAGACCACAGGTGAATTGAGGGAGGGGTGAGTTGGGGATGGTTGCTAAGACTTAATGCATGCCCCAGCCAGAGTTGGAATCTTGATGCTGGGGGTAGTGGAGAATGTATCTGGTGTCATGCAACTTTTCATGATGAATCAAATCAGTAGAGTTGGAATTCGTGCCACCCTGTCATTGCGCAAGGAAGCCGAAGACGAGGTTCTCACATACTCAGTGGCAAGCGGATGTGAGAGTTGCTGAGCTGCCTTGCTGCTCTATTAGATTGTGAGGAGGGGATCAGTTCCCTGCCCCTTTCTCAGTTTCCATTTCTATGCATGGTGACCAATGTGCCAGGTTCTTTGCTACATTATACAATAAGCTTGTCCTCTCACTGGTGTAGTGGCTCTACCTACAAGAGAGTAACTTATGAGTTGATTTATGGGGTTTTTCCTGGGAGAGAGCTCCCTTTCTGTTATTTATATTTTGGGAAATATTTATTATTTCTCAAGTGCTAGACATGGTGCTATACACTGAGGCACTACCGTCTTCCCTCCAAAAACTTACCGTCTAGACTGGGAAACATGGCCATATGCGGTAAAGACTATTCCAGGCCCTTGGCAGTCCAATCCCAGCCCTCTTCCCTGCCCCCTGAAAACTCCCTAAACAGCCTTCTGCTCCATCCAGACTATTTATTATCTCTTGGATAGTCACCACATCTCTGTCCTTTCACACACTGAATTATAATACCATCATGTTTTTGCTAGCTACATTTGACATTTCTGTCAAGGCCCAGCTCAAGATAATGAAGCGTCTCTCAGTCAAACCTGACCACAGTATTTCCATTCTCTATACCCTTTTGCTGTCTTTTAGTGTTACTTACCTTTTTATGTTGTATCTCCTGTTTCTTTGTCTAAATTGTTTCATCTTTGAGTGCAAGGACCCTGTCTTGGGTTTTTTTTATGACTTGCTTCTCAGGTAGACACTAAGTAAATGTTTGAAGAGGAAAGGAGAATTAGTCTGCAAGTTGTAACAGATAGGCGTTCAGAAAAGGGGGACTTAGAAAGCAATTAGAAAGAGCAATAAAGTCAGGCTGTGGGGAAGTTTTATTCCTGGCCACAGTAGTGGAGGACAGAAGTTAAGAGTGATGGGAGTAAGTAAACAGATATGGGAGGACAAAACAAAGGAAAGCAGGGTGTCGGGGCAGCTCTGTGTCATTGTGCACTCTGTAAAGTTTGGGAAACATCTGAGTGCTCAGCAGGATTGGAGCCTGGTCCTTCAGGACGTTGACCTTTGTGGAGAGCCGAGTCTGTCTCACGCCATCTTCCCAAACTGCTTTTCTATCCGCAGAAGTAGATTTGCTGACCAAGGAGCTAGAGGACTTTGAGATGAAGAAAGCTGCTGCTCGAGCTGTCACTGGCGTCCTGGCCTCTCACCCCAACAGTACTGATGTTCACATCATCAACCTCTCACTTACCTTTCATGGTCAAGAGCTGCTCAGTGACACCAAACTGGAATTAAACTCAGGCCGTCGTTATGGCCTCATTGGTTTAAATGGAATTGGTGAGGCCTTGGAAGGGGAGGTGGGAGGTATCTCTCCTTAGCTCATCTGTCACTCACAAGCATTTATTTAGCATCAACTGTGTTCAGAGCAAAGCATTTAGAATAGGGATGGGAGACCAGATTATGTCCAGGGGAAAGGAACTAGCAACGCAGAGCAGTATGTGTTATGTACAGGTTGAGTATCCCTTATCTGAAATGCTTGGAACCAGAAGTGTTTCGGATCTTGGAATATTTGCATTATACTTACCGGCTGAGCATCCCTAATCCAAAAACCTGAAATTCTCCAGTGAGCATTTCCTTTAAGCATCATGTGAGCACTTAAAAGGTTTTGGATTTTGGAGCATTTTGGATTTTCAGATTAGGGTGCGTCCACCCTGTACCACATGATTAGTTACAGCAGGTGCTGGAGAAGTTGGTCAGGGGCGTGTGAAGCTGTGGTAAGTGAAAAAAGCTTCAGATAAGGGGTGGGGCAAGAATTGGAGGAAAGTTAGAAAGGAATCCCAAGAATGGGGGCTGGCAAGATTTGAACGAATGAAGGGAAGAAAGGTCCTCAAAAAAAAAAAAATGGATGAGGTCCCAGTTTGACTGGGGTGGAAGAACTAGTGGTGAAGAGGGATAGGGGAGTTCACTGTACCAAGCGTCTGCTGCTCTCCCCTCTCAGGAAAGTCCATGCTGCTCTCTGCTATTGGGAAGCGTGAAGTGCCCATCCCTGAGCACATCGACATCTACCATCTGACTCGAGAGATGCCCCCTAGTGACAAGACACCCTTGCATTGTGTGATGGAAGTCGACACAGAGCGGGCCATGCTGGAGAAAGAGGCAGAGCGGCTGGCTCATGAGGATGGTAGGGCTCCAGACCTGGGCATAGGGGTGGGCGTCCTCCCAGAAAGGCCCCCAGGAGCCTCATGGCCATACACTGTCCACAGCGGAGTGTGAGAAGCTCATGGAGCTCTACGAGCGCCTGGAGGAGCTGGATGCCGACAAGGCAGAGATGAGGGCCTCGCGGATCTTGCATGGACTGGGTTTCACACCTGCCATGCAGCGCAAGAAGCTAAAAGACTTCAGTGGGGGCTGGAGGATGAGGGTTGCCCTTGCCAGGTGAGTCCCTCCCTCCTTCCCTACCCCCATAACTCCCCCATCTCTCCAGTGTTTAGTGTTCACTCCAGTGGAACTGTTTGGAACAGGAGTCAGTGGTAAGTGTCAAATGAGACATGGACATCTGCAGTGTGGAGGGGGTTGTTGTGTATGGGCTAGAGAGAGAGCTTCCTGGCTGAAGTGGTAGAGTGACTCAGTTTTCTATTGGATTCTTAGCACCCAGCACAGAGTTTAGAGATCCTAGGGGTAGTCCTAGGTAAAACGGTGGAGTAGGTCTGTTTCTGTCCTCCCACCAGGATTCCCTTTCCACCCTTTTTGTACTCTAGTCCTGCTAATTCCAGCTGTAAAGATAAAATGTTAGACGGCTATTATGATAGCTGTCGTTCTTATTCTCTTGTGGCCTGGACTCAAAGTGAGTTTCCATAGACCAGCATTCCCCCAATAATCCCCCCAGAGTCACTAAACAGGTAATTCCTTGCCCCATCATTCTCTGTGAAGGGAATTTATAAGACTTGATATACTTCTCTAGAAAGTTGCCTGCATGTGCCTTAGAGTATAAGCACAGTGGTTCCACATGCTAGCAAGGATTAGCTGCCTCCGGTTCACCCAAGGAGCTTTTAAAAACACAGATTTCTGGTTTGGGAACCAGAGCTTTAGAGTCTATCCCTCGCTAGACTCTGGCCACCCCACAAGATAGGTCTATCTTCAGACCTTCAGATAGGTCTAATTTGTTTTAGCAGTTTATTTCCTCTGTATTTTTTTGTCTTCTCCGTAGTCTCCAACTTCAGTGCACAAGGCTCATAAACTCATAAAGACTTCTACAGCCTTGCCTCGAACTGTCCTTATATGCTTCTGAGCCCCGTATTCTACTCTTCAATCTCTTCTCTTCGACTCTTGTTTCTGTCCTGCTTCTCCTTTTCCCTCTGAGGTATAGAGCCTAAAATTGATTTCAAGACTCAAGCCAGGAGCCTACTCAGAATTGCATGTAGCAGGCAAGTTTGTCCCGTCCTGTGTCACATCCATTATAATTCTGAGGTGCTTCTGTCTCCTTTACCGTCCTTCAGAGCCCTCTTTATTCGGCCCTTCATGCTGCTCCTGGATGAGCCTACCAACCACCTGGACCTAGATGCTTGCGTGTGGTTGGAAGAAGAACTAAAAACGTAAGAGGGTGGAATGGGGGATGTGAGCGGGCAGGTCCCAAAGGGGGAATCTAGAAAATGGATGCCCAGAAACTGCACTGATGTTAGAGCGGTGAGAAAGGAACTGAAGGAAGGACAGAGTTCACTTTCTTGGACAAGCAGTGAGCACCTTTAGGGCTGTTGAAGGCTGGCCTTTTATTTTGATTGTTTTTCTTTAGTTTGAAATTTATGAGCTTTTTTTTTTAAAAAAAATCCTTGTTGGTTTTGTCCATATTTCAAATTCAAGATCTTAATTAAAGATATATTTTTTTTCTTAATTGTATAAAGCTAAAAAGAGGTCTTCCATCTAAGATCATGATGCAGTGACAAAGGAAAATATAGCCAATATGGTCATGGTCCTACAGCTAAAGAACTGAATAAGCTGGAATATTGTACCAATTTTAAAAGAAGGCTTTTAGTGGTACGATGACTTAGTACCTTCTTTCAAAAAGTAAAGCATTTTGTTTTTTATTGTGTCTGTACCAGTTCTTCCCACCCACAGTTTTGGATACATTCGTGGGTGTATTTGTGTACATACACACTTCTGGTTACTATCACTGTTACTACCGTCTCCATCCCATTCTGTTGAAAATTAGAACAGAAGATTGAGGAAACTCAGGCTGTCTCGCCACACTGAAAGGCGTCCAAATACCCTTACAGTTAGATTGTCGAGTCGTGGCTTAGGTGCTTGCTAACAGCCAGGAATTGGACAACACATCTAAAAGGTGCTTAGGGATGAGGATGGGCCTGACTTTCAGTTCACCTGTTGTCAGCTAGCTCCCATGGTTGAGCTCTTCACTAATTGGTTCTTTGGCTTTACAGTTTTAAGCGCATCTTGGTCCTCGTCTCCCATTCCCAGGATTTTCTGAATGGTGTCTGTACCAATATCATTCACATGCACAACAAGAAACTGAAGTATTATACGGTGAGTGGGCCTCGGCTTCTTCTGGTAATCTCTGTGCATACCAATTCTCTGAAATTCTCTTTAAAAAAAAAAAAAAAGGCTGGTGTGGTGGCTCATGCCTGTAATCCCAGCACTTTGGGAGGCCGAGGTGGGTGGGTCACTTGAGGTCAGGAGTTTGAGACCAGCCTGGCCAATATGGTGAAACCCTGTCTCTACTAAAAATACAAAAAAATTAGCCAGGCGTGGTGGCAGGTGCCTGTAGTCCCAGCTACTTGGGAAGCTGAGGCAGGAGAATCACTTGAACCCTGGAGGCGGAGGTTGCAGTGAGCTGAGATCACACCACTGCACTCCAGCCTGGGTGACAGAGCAAGACTCCATCTCAAAAAAAAAAAAAAAGCAGACCTATCTATTAGCTCCTTTCTACCTATTGCTATAAAAAGATATGGACAAGGAGTCCTACCACCTGTTTTATTTTAATCCCAAAGTCATTGCTTTCAGGCCATAGGCCATGGATTGGCAGCCTGTGCACACAAGGTGTATGTTTGCCTTGTGGCAAAGAAGTTGACTTTTCACGGTGACCAGGCAGGCCCTGCTCTCATCTGCCTTGCCTCTTTTTTTCTGGAAACAGAATCTCATTCCGTCACCCAGGCTGGCATGATCTCAGCTCACTGCAACCTCTACTTCCTGAATTCAAGCGATTCTTGTACCTCAGCCTTCTGAGTAGCTGGGACTACAGGCATGCACTGCCATGTCTGGCTAGTTTTTGTATTTTTAGTAGAGACGGGATTTTGCCATGTTGGCCAGGCTGGTCTTGAACTCTTGACTTCAGGTGATCTGCCCTCCTCAGCCTCCCAAAGTGCTGGGATAACAGGCATGAGCCACCACACGAGGCCTCCCTCTGCCTTCTTGAATGCCTTCTTAATTCTGCTTCACTGGAGTCTACACATTTACCCCACCTCCCATGACCACAGGAGAATGGGGGTCAGGATCTCAATAGCCCACTGTTGTGCCTTGCCTTTTCATTTTATATTTCAAAAAGCATGTAAGAAACTAACGATTGATGTCCTCTTCATTCATAGTCATAGGAGTATTAGTTTATAATATAGCCTTCCAGAAACTTCATGTATACTTGCACACATTTGTAGAAAATGTCATGTATACGTAATCTTTTTCTTTTTATACAATTGCAGCTTTTTTTTTTTTTTTTTTTTGAGCTGGAGTCTTGCTCCGTCGCCAGGCTGGAGTGCAGTGGCGCGATCTGGGCTCACTGCAACCTCCACCTCCCAGGTTCAAGGGACTCTCCTGCCTCGGCTTCCTGAGTAGCTGGGACTACAGGCGCATGCCACCACACCCAGCTAATTTTTGTATTTTTAGTAGAGATGGGGTTCACCATATTGGCCAGGATGGTCTCCCTCTCTTGACCTCATGATCCGCCTGCCTCGGCCTCCCAAAGTGCTGGGATTACAGGCGTGAGCCACCGCACCCGGCCTCTTTTTTCTCGAGATGGGGTCTGTCTCTGTCACCCAGGCTGGAGTCCAGTGGCGTGATATTGGCTCACTGCAACTTCTGCCTCCCAGGTTCAAGCGATCCTCCCACCTCACCCTCCCAAGTAGCTGAGACCACAGGCACATGCCACCATACCCAGCTAATTTTTATATTTTTAGTAGAGACGGGGTTTCGCCATGTTGGCTAGGCTGCTGTCAAACTCCTGGCCTCAAGTGATCCACCCACCTCAGCCTCCCAAAGTGCTGGAATTACAGGTGTGAGCCACTGCACCTGGCCACAGTTACAATTTTAATAATCATTCTGTAGGTTGCTTTTTTAAATTTAGTATATTTTGGACTGCTTTCCATGTGAGTATATATAAATCAATCACAATCTTTTCAGTCACTGCATAGTATTTCGTTATGTGTTTATCCTGTAACTTGTTAGGCCCTTTCTGGTGGATATTTAGCTTGAGTCCAGTTTTTGTTTGCAGATAGAAACCATGGTAGTCCACTTATGCAGGGTTTGTCAGCTTCTAAATCTGAATGGTCTGTTTTCCCCTCTGGAGACAGCTCTTGCAGTCTTTTGTGGGGCTTCAGCCTCTAGGGAACGGGGAAGGAATAGGAGGTGGTATTGGAAGGCTCTGAGCCTCGTGACGTCCGTATGACCGTGATTTTCAGGACTATTCCCAGTGCCACAGGTGTCTTTCTAGCTAACCTAAGGATTTGCGCTGGAGCCTGGCCCTGGCTGGGCTGAGCGAGGGGCATAGAATTGAAAAGACTCCGATTTGATGTTAGGATATGCTTCTGTAATGCACGTCCTCTCTTCTTACTGCACAGCCTTAGAGCCAGGGCCAAGTTAGTGCCATCCCTCATCCCCCTAAACTCTGAGTGAGAATCCAGGATTGAAACCCAGGTTAAAGCTGCCTGCCTTACCTGGCACATTTCCATGCAGGGTAATTATGATCAGTACGTGAAGACGCGGCTAGAGCTGGAGGAGAACCAGATGAAGAGGTTTCACTGGGAGCAAGATCAGATTGCACACATGAAGGTAGGGAGACTGCAGAGTCAGGCTCATGGCCTCCTGTCTGAAAGAAGCAGGGGGCTCGGATGAGGGCATTTCGAGAAGCGGTAGTGATGGAGGATGTCGGGAAGAAGTTACGATCAACATTTTTACCCTGGATTGAAGATGAATTGTTGAGCGCCTGCACATACTCCAAGCTCTCTTTGGTCTTTTTTAGAACTACATTGCGAGGTTTGGTCATGGCAGTGCCAAGCTGGCCCGGCAGGCCCAGAGCAAGGAGAAGACGCTACAGAAAATGATGGCATCAGGACTGACAGAGAGGGTCGTGAGCGATAAGGTGGGGTGTGATTGGGTGGGGTGTGATTGGGTGGGGTTGGGTGGCCTAAGGTGAGGTGGATAAGAAAGGAGCCAACTTGATAAATGCCCTCTTTTCTTCCTAGACACTGTCATTTTATTTCCCACCATGTGGCAAGATCCCTCCACCTGTCATTATGGTGCAAAATGTGAGCTTCAAGTATACAAAAGATGGGGTAAGTTCAGGGCAGGGCATGGGTGGCTGGGGTGTATCTTAGGGTGAGTGGCAGCTCATGGGAGTTGCTCCTGTTCTGTGCTGACCACACCTGCTAGCCCACGTGCTCTGGGGGATTTTCAGGTGTGGCAGCTGGGGTGCCTCATCCAAGGCTGCTCGCGGGCCTTTCTTCGTGTATATGGAAAGAAGACTACTCAGCTGGGTTGGTGGGCGGAGGCAGTGGGCGAGGCGGGGTCTGCTATGAGTGCTTCCTCCCGCTACTCTCCCTTCCTCCTCTCTTGGTGACTGGGAATTCAGCGGGCTTGGTCTGCTGGTCATAGCAGATCTGTATTCTAGCCTTGTGTCCACATCTCTCTCATCCCCACCTCAGCCTTGCATCTACAATAATCTAGAATTTGGAATTGACCTTGACACACGAGTGGCTCTGGTAGGGCCCAATGGAGCAGGGAAGTCAACTCTTCTGAAGCTGCTAACTGGAGAGGTATGGTGCCAAGGTGGGCGTGGATCCCTCTAAGATTAGGCCTTGCGATGGTTAAGGAAGAGGGGAGTGATGCAGGGGCTACTACTTTGGGAGGGCCTGAGTACCCTGGTGGTGAGTGAGCCATCTGGAGGGGTGGAGCAGCAGCCAGGAGAGGGGGAATGTCTGGTTGGACAGTGCTGAGGCTGGGGGCTGTTTTCCTGGGACAGGGATAGGTAGGGAGGAGTCTTAGAGTGTGTGTGTGAATACATGTATGTGTTTAAGCACGTTTCTATTTTCTTTTTTTTTTTTTGAGGTGGAGTCTCGCTCTGTTGCCCAGGCTGGAGTGCAATGTGCGATCTCAGCTCACCGCAACCTTCATCCCCCGAGTTCAAGCAATTCTCCTGCCTCAGCCTCCCAAGTAGCTGGGATTACAGGCACACGCCACAGCTAATTTTTTTGTATTTTAGTAGAGATGGGGTTTCACCATGTTCATTAGGCTGGTCTTGAACTCCTGACCTCATGATCTGCCCACCTCGGCCTCCCAAAGTGCTGGGATTACAGGCGTGAGCCACCGCGTCTGGCCCATGTTTCTATTTTCAATCAGAGCATTTAGAATATAGGAACATCTGTGCATTTAGGGATGCTGCAGGTTCTCAAGTAATGTCATTTCATTAATATTGATGAAAAATAGAAATGATTCCCAGCTGGGGCCACTGTCTTTGTGGAGTTTGCACTTTCCCTTTAACGTCTACATGGGTTTTCTCTGGTACTTCAGTTTCTTCCCAATTCCAAAGCTGCACCTGTCAGGTTACTTGGAACGTCTCAGTGGTTCCAGTCTGAATGAGTGCGGGTGTGTGAGTGCATCCTATAATGGAATGGTGTCCTCTTCAGGGCTGGTTCTTGTCTTGTTCCCTGGGTTGTGGGATGGGCTCCAGCTGCCCATGATCCTAAACTTGAATAAGCAGGTTGGAAAATGATAGAATGAATGAATATAAAATATTGTAAAAGAAAAATTCATAAAGTTTATGATAACCATACAAATGCAGTCAGCAAACCAGCCACATTCGTGATTATTTTTTAACTGTGTGGTGGTAGGAGGTGCTCCTTACAGTTTTCCCTTTGCAAACATTTATTCCTTGGTTTAACCCACCACTCTTAAAATTGCCATCACTCACTGATTCACCAAAAATTGGGTAAATATCTTACCTTGTTTTTATTAATCTTTCTTAAGTGTATGTATAGCTCACATGTATTTTGATGTTGAATATTAGAAGTGACTGGGTTTTTTGGCCAGGTGCCGTGGCTCACACCTGTAATCCCAGTGCTTTGGGAGGCCGAGGCAGGCAGATCACTTGAGATCAGGAGTGTGAGACCAGCCTGGCCACATGGTGAAACCCCCTCTCTACTAAAAATGCAAAAAAAAAATTAGCCAGGTGTGGTGGCGGGTGTCTGTAATCCCAGCTACTCCAGAATCTCTTGAGCCTGGGACAGAGAAGTTGCAGTTAGTCGAGATCTCGCCACTGCACTCCAGCCTGGGCAACAGAGCGAGACTCCCTCTTAAAGAAAAGAATCTTTGGATCTTTATTTAGAAGTTTGGTGATCTTTTTTTGTGACCAAAAATGCTGCAGGAACCTAATTCTTGTTTATATCAGTTAGCCTGTGGCAAAATTAGTTTTGCTATATGTTGTTTCACTTAAAGTGAAACTTTAAAATAGGTTCTGTTTCTAAGAACCTATCGATGACAGTGACAACTTTGAGGACTTAACTGTTTTTAATTTTAGAAAATGTATGTTGCACCTACATCCAAGTCCTTTGTTATACAGCATAGTGCATTCAGTAGACATTTTATAACTACTTAAATTGTATCTTTGCCTCTTGAGAACATCTGCTTCAGTACATCTTCCTAAATATTTTTAGAGTGGCCAGAATAGCAGTGTGCGAGTTGGTGATGTATTCTTTTTAGGAAGTTGAGTCTTGTTCAGTGTGAACATGTGTTTGTTTGCCTGCTCTGCCTATGTTTCTAACTGGGCTTCCTTTGTTTCATGCTTACGTTTCTACTTTTTTCTTCCTAGCTACTACCCACAGATGGCATGATCCGAAAACACTCTCATGTCAAGATAGGGCGTTACCATCAGGTACAGGCCTGGGGTTGGGATCCGGGGAATTGCCCAGGGTATAGGGAGGGGCTGTATCTGGCTGAGTTCCAGCCAGCCGCCCCCACCCCCTGGCAGGAATTCCAGCCTAGGTGGCTCCTACCTGCTTCTTGAACCCAGAACAGGTGCCTGGGATAGAAATAGGAAGTTACCTAGTAGGGTTTATTTTGAAGCGGGATGCCAGTCACACCCGGGTGGCTTCCATTTTTCCTGTAGCATTTACAAGAGCAGCTGGACTTAGATCTCTCACCTTTGGAGTACATGATGAAGTGCTACCCAGAGATCAAGGAGAAGGAAGAAATGAGGAAGATCATTGGGCGATACGGTCTCACTGGGAAACAACAGGTCAGTAAAGGAGGGTGTGGTGAGGATGCCAGATAGCTGGCAGACTGTGGCTGGGTGGGTCAGGGGATACTGTCCTGGCAGCCTGGGTTTGGAAGCTGTCCAAACCAGAGTCTCCTCCATTTGACTCCCCTAAGAACCTACTACCTTTTCTTTACTCTAGGTTGTTATGTAATGGAGCATTTTGAGGGGGCAAGGATAGCGTGCCAGTCTCTGACATGCCCTTGTGCCATAGTGCTTGAGGGCAAAGGAACTTGTAATCTAGAAAACAAATTTCTGGATTCAGATCTGGAAGGATCCAATTCATTGCCAAGAGAGCGAGAGGTGTGGGCTTAGTAATGGCAAGGGCTTCAGGTTTCCGGATGAGTCTCTTTCAGGCCTCAAGAGACTAGTGGGTCTCTCTGAGCCTCACTTTTTATAAATGGCGATGCTAATGGAGGAGTCAGGGAGAAATGAGGGAGAGATGAGCTGTGCTGTTTGGCGGGGATAATGCCAAGTTATATGTAGGTCACGGTTCTACTCAGGTGAGCCCAATCCGGAACTTGTCAGACGGGCAGAAGTGCCGAGTGTGTCTGGCCTGGCTGGCCTGGCAGAACCCCCACATGCTCTTCCTGGATGAACCCACCAATCACCTGGATATCGAGACCATCGACGCCCTGGCAGATGCCATCAATGAGTTTGAGGGTGGTATGATGCTGGTCAGCCATGACTTCAGACTCATTCAGCAGGTGAGGCCCTGGCCAGGGGGTGAGGCACAGCAGAGCTTCTAGGGGGTTGGGTAGGGTAGTCATGGCATGTGGAGGGTGCATAATACCCGCCTACTGAATTAAGAGAAGGGGCTCAGAGTGTAGACACAGGTGGTGAGGACCAGTTCTTATGCCTCTTTGGGGCTACTTAGAAAGCCTTAACTGAAACACTTCATTTCTTCAGTAGCTATCTGGAGATGTCAACCAACTTAGCATTTTGGGCCCAAATGGGAAAGAGAGTTGGGTAGAAAACGGTGCTTTTACTACTGTCCCAAGATTCTTCAGTCCAAAAATAGTATTCTAAGGAGGATTTTGATTAGACAGCTACCACAGTCATTTGAGAAAAAGTTGTTGCTCATTCCTCTGAAGCTCTGGGGAAGATGAGAGGTGGAGAAAAGAAGGCTGAGAGTGAAGCCTCTGAATAGATCTAGGCCCTGCCAGGGAGCTGACAATAGGAGTGACACAGCAGTTCCTGGCTTGGAAGGCTCCAAACCTGATGATGGTACCCTTGGGTTAGAACATCCCAAATAACTTAGAAGTAGTGAGACAGTGAGTTGGATATGGGTTTGGGGGGCGGAGTTTTCTTCCTAGACGCCCCTCAGGACAGTCTGCTGGGCAGAGGCAGGGACAGTGACTAGCCCAGGATTAAGTCCAGGTTTTGCTTTCTAGGTTGCACAGGAAATTTGGGTCTGTGAGAAGCAGACAATCACCAAGTGGCCTGGAGACATCCTGGCTTACAAGGAGCACCTCAAGTCCAAGCTGGTGGATGAGGAGCCCCAGCTCACCAAGAGGACCCACAACGTGTGAGCCCTCTACCTGGGTTCGGGTCAGGAGCTCCATCTGGGAACTAACAGCTGCTAACCTGACCAGCCGCTCAGGACAGGACCCTGGGGCTACACTCCTGCATTGCTGCAATACTGCTCCCCCAGCCTCTCCCCTGCCCCTCAACCTGCCTTAGCTGCACTCTCTTACCTACAGCTGGACAGTACCTGTCTGTTTCCTGTCCTCCTTCCAGTTACATCTGTCCATGTCTGGACTCGGCTGGCCGTTCCCTCCAGCCCCTTGCTGGTTATCTTACTCTGAGTGTGATGCAGTCAGAGGCACCTGCGGGTTAGCCCAGGGGCCCAAGCCCTGGATTTGGCCTGCGGAGGAGCTTAGGATCCTCGTTTTCTGGGTTTTGGTGATGTTGGAGGAGTACCCCCCAGCCCACCGCCCCGATTCCTTTTTGCTTCTGGTTTGGAGCTCCGGACCAGGACCTTCGTCCTGGTCAGTTTTTAAATAATTATTTAGCAGTGTAACTTTTAGACCTGCGTGACATCTACAAAGCGCCCAATAAAGAAAGAGGAAGCCACGGTCCCTACCTTCCTTCTCGGGTCTCTGGGGCCTTCTCCTCCCTGCAGTGCCAACATGCACTGCCCACAGCAGGAGCTGGATCCAGCGTCAGTGTGTCGATGGGAACTGAAGACTAGTCCATAGGAGCTGGAAGAACTTTGTCCCTTTACTTCTGATTTGAAATTGTACCTTTTCTCAGGCCTGTGATTCACAGACTTTAACATGAATCAGAATCACCTGGAGGGCTCATGCAATCAGATTGCCAGATCTCGCCTCAGCGTTTCTGGTTCAATAGGTTTTGGGGGAGACCAAGAACGTTAACATTTCTAGCAAGTTTCCAGGTGATGCTGTTGTTGCTGGTCTAGAGACTATTTTGAGAACCACTGTCCAGGAGCGTGGTTTTCTGATTGTGATCTGAGGTTCTGCCCCAACTGCACAGCAGTTGGGCTGCTTGTTAAAAATGCAGGCCAGGTGCGGTGGCTCACACCTGTAATCCCAGCGCTTTGGGAGGCTGAGGCAGGTGGATCACTTGAGCTCAGGAGTTCAAGACCAGCTTGGGAAACATGGCAAAACCCGTCTTTATGTGCCTGGAATCCCACCTGCTCAGGTGGCTAGGGTGGATGGATCGCTTGAGCCCAGGAGGTGGAGGTTGCAGTGAGCTGAGATTGCACCACTGCATTCCAGCCTGGATGACAGAGCAAAACCCTGTCTCAAAAAAATGCAGACTGGCCAGGCACAGTGGCTCACACCTGTAATCCGACTGTAAGCTCATCACCTTGGGAGGCCACTGTAGGAGGATCAATTGAGCCTAGAAGTTCAAGACCAGCCTGGGCAAAGTAGGGAGACCCCTTCTCTACAAATAGTAATAAAATGAACCGGGCATAGTAGCATGTGCCTGCGGTCCCAGCTGCTCTGATAAGAGGAGGCTCACTTGAGCCCAGGAGGTTGAGGCTGCAGTGAGCAGAGCGTGCCGCTACACTCCAGCCTGATGACAGACCGAGACACTGTCTCAAAAAAATAAAAAAATTCAGATTGCTGAGCATCAGACCTATTGATTAATCGCATTTGGTAGAATGAGAGAGGTGCAGAGATGGCCAGGAGTTTGCATTTTCACACCAACGTCTGTGAACCTCTCTTCCTATTGGGATACAGGAAATTTTGTATTTTTACCTGTCCACAGCCATAGTTATCATCACTGTTGAATTCACTTCCAGCCCAGGGCTCTGCATACCTTATCTGGGTCTTTTGAACTTCAATAGCATTTCACCAGTGGCCATCCTTCCTGGTGTGGATTCATCACTCTGCCTCTGAAATCAGCCATCCCTATGGGAAGACACAGCCATGATTTTTCAGTACTCATAATACAGCCAGGACTGGCGGGAGCAACTGTCCCAGATGGTGCTTAAACCCCTTAGGAGCTCATGATCTTCTTGGAAAGCCAGTAAGACAGAACCATACAGGACACAAATTAGATGCTAAATTGTGATTTAGATAGGAGACAGAAGTATTCAAAAAGGAGGGAAATTTCTTGTGAGTAGCTGCCCAGAAAGGTGGAATTGGTGTGCTCTCACTTGAAAAATGAGTAGGATCTTCTCAGATGGCCACAAAGTCCAGGAGCTGCCCTGGGCAACAGGGACAGGAGCCTCCCGTGAGACACTGCAGCTGAGACAGATGGGAGTCCTCTGACCCCAGAGGGTACTGGCTTGACTGCTTTATGCCTTAAGTGGGGCCTGGAGCAAAATGGCCCAGGTTAGTCTGTCCTGAGAGTCCAGAGCCTTGGTTCAGGGGAGAATGGCATCTGGAGAGTGGGCTGCTGGGATAATGGGGACAGTGAGGGACAGAGCCCTTGATACTTAAGGAAGTGCTGGATATTGCTAAGAATTCAGGTAGTCTCGGGATCTCCAGAGTCTCCATACTAGGACAGGAGATCTTCAGAACCTGGAGGAATGGAAATAGTCTAGTCAGCTTATTTGTCAAGAAAAATGTCAACCTTGGTAATTTAAATAATGCTTTAAAAGTCCACAAAATACATATTTCTAAAATTAGCAGTGCCTTGTTTTGGATTGAGAAGTGGCCTGTTAATTCTCTTAAACCTTAGCCCGTAGGATGTGGCCAGCCGTTCAGAGCTGGGTGGAGAGGTAAGTTGATTGAGGGGTTGCTAGCTTTAACACAGCCAGCAGGTGATGCTGGTCTTTGGAACCCTTCTCCCACCTCTCAATTTGTAACATCCTCTTTTCCCCCAAGCCCCTATACCTTTCATATTGCTCCAGGTTTCTTTAATCACAGCATTCAAGGGCCTGAAGTATTTGTTCCCCCATAGGTGCTAAGTGAGACAATTGACTTTCTCCATTTTGCAATGGGCTTTTCTTCCCTTTACTGCTAACTCCCAAGACCGCCACGTCTGCTTTTCTGGTGAGCACCTATTGCTTTTCTGCTTCTCACCTCCTCCAGTGGTCTTCCTCCCTGTCAGCCTCTTCACCACCTGGGGAGCTTCTGCTATCTGCATCTAGTCCAGGCTCAGGCGTTTTGCTCATCTGCCTTCAGTCCAAGCCTCATTATACTCCGCTCACACTGATTCCACTCTACCTTTCACACCGTTTCTTTCTCTCATTCTTCCCAATTAAAGGATACATCCTACAAGGATACATCCTACAATGGGTATATGAAGGATACCCTTCATATACCCATTTGTACCAAGAAGCGGCCTCTAGCTACTCGAGCCCTCCTCACCATGGGTACCACCACTTTTAGCCCCTTCACCCTTCTCTGGTGGTTTGATGTGAACCAGTCTTGTCTCTTCACCTCCACTGGGGCGCAGTGGGGGAGGGAGCTTGCATTCCTTCTGGAGTCTGCAGCACTCTGAGCTGTGCTGGCACCTGTGTGCTCCGTGATTACAGGCTGGTGGGCTGGAGTTGCCTGAACTTTTAAGAAGTGCGTAAATACACTGGGAGATGGTTGGGTGGGGGAGGGGACCCGGTGAAGGGTTTCTTAATTCAGAGGGATTACTTGTGGGAGAGGAAGGAACAATTAGTCTCTTTTCAAGGTTAGCCCAGAGCATGTTCAGGATTGGGATTGAGTCACGCCCCTTACCTCCCACCTGCCCCCCCCCCCCCTCCCAGGTGCATGTCCCCAGCCACACCTGGTGGGGCAGCTGACTTGATAAAAAGTAGCTCCAAGGGGGTGGGTGAGGGCTATTCGAGAAGCAGGAGGATGAGCGCTGAGTATGGACAGCGGCAGCAGCCCGGGGGCCGTGGGGGTCGCAGTTCTGGGAACAAAAAGTCCAAAAAGCGCTGTCGGCGCAAGGAGTCCTACTCCATGTATATCTACAAGGTGCTGAAGCAGGTGAGTGCATAGCAAGGATGTGTGTGAGGGATGCCCTCACAAAGCGCCTTGAAAGGGCACTGGCTGGAAGTGGGGACCTTGAGGTTAGTGTTGGCACTGGGGCAAGTGGCTCAGGCAGGCCTGGCCCCTCTTGAGGTGGCGGGACCTGGTTTTTGAGGTCTCCACCTCTCTCAGGATCTTGGGCACCGGTGATAGGAGACAAAGCGTGCTCCCTGCCACCCTCCAGAAGTTTACGGGAACGATGATGAGATAACGTGATTAGGTGGGACATAATTAAAGGACAAGAGGACCACACTTTCTATGCCAGGCTGAAGGTGATCAGGTGCCAAACACATTATGATACAAAGTGTGTTGGTGACCGAGAAGAGGAGTGATCAGGGTGAACTGGAGTCTTGGGGAAGGTCTTCTGGACAAGTGGCACTCAGTTCTTTGAGGGGCTTAGGGTTTGTCCACCTTATAGACAAACAGCTTGAGGCCCCTAAAGGCTCCATGGGGTTCCTGCATCACATGGCCTGACAGTGGCAGTGTCCCAGTTCCCCTGGCTCTGGGCAAGCCCCTAGCATCCTTCCTGTGTGTCCGTCTCCCCAACACACTGGGGCTGCAGGTGCCCTATATTCATGCACGAAAAGCAGCTACTCCCAGGACTTGGAACACTGACAATCAATTTGTCTGGAGGATCCAAAGCTGCTGCTCAGCAGGGCCAAGGCCAGGAGGAGGCGGGGGTAGCCATGTGTTGCCCGCCCTGGGTCTCCAACCTGCTTGAAACTCTTACCCCTCTGTTAGAGCAGGCCCCAGAGGTAATGCCTGTCTCCAGTCCAAATCCCATTAGCGGTTTAGTGAATTGACAACCTGGGTGCCTGGGAATGCTCTTGTGGGGTTGGGGGTGGGTGGGTCCAGCACTGATATGGGTTGGCTGAAGAGATGCACCAGAGGACAGACTCTGGTGCCCTGAAGAAGGTGGGGTAGGAGTGGGTATCGCTGAGCCTTGTGTCTTAGCCCGACTTTGAGGGGCAAAAATTGCAACTGATGGGTGGGACAAGGCCTGTACTCACAGAGGAGAGTGCTGCTGAGGGCCAACCCCTCAACCTCCTGATCTGGGTGAGAGCTCTAAGGAGAACGGGGTGTGCTGACAGCAGAGGGGGTTTGGGCAGAACTAGCCTTGTGCCAGGTGCAGATTTGCTGCTGGCAGTGGAGACCAGAGGTGGCAGGGAGGGCGGGTGGGACAGAGCCTCCTGGTTCTAGTGCTGTTTTCATCTCTGACTCCATGTAGGTTGTGGGACAGTCACTTCTCTCCCACTTCACATCTGACCAGGTCTACCTACTCACATTTTAGAACTGCCATCAGTTCCCATTTGCTTTAGTAGAGATCACTTAGTTCAAAAGCTTGTGTGACAGAAGAGGAAACTGAGGCCCAGAGGAAAGGGCCGTATTTGAGGTCGTAGGGATTCACAGTACAGCTGCAGAACAGGACTCCTCCCCTGGTCCGGGGCTGCGACTGTGTCACATGGACAGGCTCACTGGTTATGTGCTCCACCAAGTTATATGCACAAACGTTTTGACACTACAGTCCCGCCTCTGGAAATAACCTTCCCTATGCTCGCACAAGATTCAAAGATGGGCATTTACCATAGCACCATCTAATAGCAAAAACAACAAAAAACACCCCAAACCCAAATCCTGAATATTCGTGAAGAGAGGAATGGTGTTAGGAAGTATGATACATCCATACCGTGGAACACTATGCAAATGCATCAGTGAAACCAGCAAGATGCATGTGTAACTGGTCCCATTTGTTAAATACAGATGCTTGTGTGTGCTCATACAAGGAGCTTAATCATGTTACCTCCTGCAGTTGAAAACTTCTTTTAAAAAACTTAGATATACCATAGCAGTACAAAGAAAACACAAATCCCTATTTCCATGACTGTTGGCCTCTGGGAAGGGGCTGGTGAGGAGCCTCCTTGCCTTCTGCCTCTGGCTTCCTAGAGCCCCCAGCTCAGGGCTGAGGCTTGCAGTGTAGGCAGGACCCCCCCTCCCCTGGCCCCTTCCATTAACCGAGTGGTGCTGCCCTCTCTCCAGGTGCACCCTGACATTGGCATCTCTGCCAAGGCCATGAGCATCATGAACTCGTTTGTAAACGACGTGTTTGAGCAGCTGGCGTGTGAGGCTGCCCGGCTGGCCCAGTACTCGGGCCGGACCACCCTGACATCCCGAGAAGTCCAGACGGCTGTGCGTCTGCTGCTGCCTGGGGAGCTGGCCAAGCACGCTGTGTCTGAGGGCACCAAGGCTGTCACCAAGTACACCAGCTCCAAGTGACCCAGGGCCTGACAAAAATAAAGGGTGAACTGTTTCTGTGCCCTGTGGTGATTTGAAAGAAGGGTGTGTGAGGCCAGGGTGTGGTCTGGAGCCAGGGTGTCCTCACTTCGAGGCTACCACAGGTGGAGCAGCACTTCTTCAGATGTCTTAGAAACTGCTTTCTAGGTGTATCCCGTGAGCAACGTGTGATAGCTTTGTAAACATGCGAATGTTCTATTTGGTAGTGAGCTGAAATAGGACCTGGGACTGGACTAGCATCTGGATTTACCGCCAGCTGATTCCCTCTTGGGGCCTGAAATTCCTCCTGTATGGTCCTCTTTCAGGCTGTGTCTTCGCGATGTCATTTCCCACCAACTGTCATTGCATCCTGTACGACAGGCACTGTTGTGTGAAGGGGCCACACAGATCTATTCAAGATATAAAAACTGAAGGCCCAGATCGGCTTCTAAATAACCTGCTGAGATCAGTATGATTTTTCAGTTTCCCCTTTATTTCGGAACAAATCAGTGGGGATGTTTTTGAAACTCCTAACATCACCAATTTTATTTGGAAAAATTTGAAACCCACAGAAAAACTGCAAGAAGCACCACGGCCACGCCTATGTCCTTACCTAGATTTACTGCTCACCACTTAACCACTTGCTTTTCCTGTCTCATGCAGCCTCTGCTTATCTTGTGGGCACATGACCCATAAATCCTCTTCCAAGCTTGGACAAGATGAAGGGGTGGGATTTAGACAAACCTCCAATCCTTTGTGCCGTTTGTAATTGGACAGACCTGGCTTGTGGTCTCCTTCATCTCCACATATTGAAAAGGCATCGCCTTGTAGTAATAGCTGACGTTCAGCGGCAGCTACCTAGGTCACGTGTATTTTCTCATACCTCGAGCCTCACCTTGAGGTTCTGTGAGCTGAGGACTAATGATCCACGTTTACATTCACAGTTAGCAAGAGGCAGGCCCAGGAGATCTGGCCCCAAAGTCTCACTCCTGCCCACTCTGCCCTGTGTTCACACCTTGCCCTACCAGGCATGACCCGGGCCAGCAGGAGCCAAAGCACCTGGGAGCTTGTTAGAAAGGCAGGCTCTTGGGTCCCCCCTCAGATCTGGAGCAGAATCTGTTTATCTATCTATCTATCTATCTATCTATCTATCTTTGAGACAGAGTTTCGCTTTGTTGTCCAGGCTGGAGTGCAGTGGTGCCATCTCTGCTCACTGCAACCTCTCCCCATCCTAGGTTCAAGCGGTTGTCCTGCCTCAGCCTCCCGAGTAGCTGGGATTACAGGCATGTGCCACCAGGCCTGGCTAATTTTTATATTTTTAGTAGAGATGGGGTTTCACCATGTTGGCCAGGCTGGTCTTGAACTCCCAACCTCAGGAGATCCGCCTGCCCTGGCCTCCCAAAGTGCTGCGATTACAGGCATGAGCCACTGCGCCCAGCCTGGAATCTGCATTTTAATGAGACCCTCAGGTAGCTCATAGGCACCTTCGAGTTCCTCCTCTTTGCTCCTCCTTGCCGCTATCTCCCTTCTGTCCGTTTCCCTGGCCCTGTTCCTCTTAGATTTACTTATTCATAAGCCTCGACGTGACACTGAGCCAAAAAGCTCACCCCAGCTGACCAGCCTCAGGCTGCTAGTGGTATAATATTTTGTCTTTTTGGAAAAATTATCTCCTGAACTTGTAGCAGTGACGGGAGGTGGTACCCACAGGTGACCAAGTAAGCCCCAAGCATGCAGAACAGCATCCACTATACTTTCTAGCATGATGCTTCACACGGGTCTGGCTCATGGGAATGGTGTGAACTCTTGGCAGGCCCCAGGGAGGAAAGCATGGTTATGCTCACTTTCACCCAAGGGGGCAACTGGGACTTCAGGGCCTTCTGACTCCAAATCAGTGCCTTTCCCCTCCACCACATGGGCTTCCCCGTGCTGTCATCCAGAGAGTGAAGGAGGGCTGTGGGGCTCAGGAGGCGGGGGCTGAGAGAAGGAACAGAGGCCGCTGAGAGTGAGAAGCTGCGGTGATGCCTTGTTAGGGGGTAATGTCTTTAGGACAGATGTATCCAGAGCGCCAAAGCTTTCAGGGGACTTCAAATAGAAACTTATTTTACTTGTTCCTTACAAGAAAAATGGCCAAAGTTGGACAACATGTTCTGCCCTAAGCTTCCAAAGCTTGCTCTGCGGGAGCCTGCAGCCACCCACCCACAGTCCCTTCAGCGCGCTGCTCCCAGGACGTCCTCCGAGATAAATGTCCCCGATTCTGCACCCACCAGCCCCCTCGCCTCAGCCCTAGAACACTGGTACAATGGGTCAGAACTCTTAAAAACAGGCTGTTCTGCCCTGTGGCCCTGGAAGTCAGGGAGCCACAGAGGTTCTGTGAATTCCACCACCAGCAAACAAGGGGCAGCGTGGAGGAGTGGACACAATGTCTGAGGGGTGAGTGAGGGGCTGGAGTGGGGCTCCCAGGGCAGAGACAGCAAAGGGCAGAGCATCTCCTTAGTCCTGAGAGGCAGGGGCAGAGTGGCGGTTTGGGCACTGGGCCACCCCAGCTGCTGCTGCTGCCCTGGCAGCTTTCACTGTGGAAACTTCCCTCCGATGGTTAATTCCAGAACCAGGGCTCTGCTTGGGGAAGGGTCCCTCCTCCACATTCATCCCTCACCCCCACTTCCCATCCACCAGCCCAGATCACTGCAGCATCCGTGGGCTGCCCCACACCTGGAGGGCCCCACTGCCCCTGACTCCCAAAGACCCCTTCCTTACCAGAGCCCCAAGCCTGGGCTGGCTTTCCCCCAAACCCCCAAAGGTCATGCCCATTCTCTCTGCTAATCCTACAGCGGAGCCCAATCCCACACTCTCCCTAAGACCAGGTCGGTGTCCACTCATTGCCCTGCGGGCTCCTTACCTCATTGAAGTCCATTTAGGAGCCATGAGTGACATCACACCTTCTGGTACCCCGAGCCCACACTCCTCAAAAGGCCAGGCTGCTCCGTCTCCCCACTCCTCCGTGGCTCAGAGCACGCGGCGCCCGCCACCCTCTCCCCAGAGCTTACCAGCGCCTCTGGGAGTCCTCCCACGCGACCCTGCAGGAGCTGCTGGACCAAGAGCAGCTTCTGCTCGAACCTGCGCCCGACCGGGAGCGGCAGTCCTTCCAGTACAGGCTCGCATCGCTCTACCTGCACTACCTGGGGCTGCTGCGCCGCTTCGACACCGTCTATGACCAGATGGTGCAGCCGCAGAAGCGGCGGCTGCTGCGACGCCTGCTGGACGGCGTGGCGGGCCGCGTGCTGGAGCTCAAGGACGAGCTGGTGCGCGCCGACCTGTGTGAGAACCACTGCCTGGACCGCGTGCTGCAGGATTTCAAGCTCACCCCAGTACGTGTGCGCAGCCGCGAAGCCACGCCCCCAGCCAGCTAGCGGGAGGGGAGAGGTGGGGTGGGACCGGCCTTGACCACCTGGGACACAGAGCCACGCCCTGGCCAGCTTGGGGTCGGGTGGGGTAGGGATGGGGCCGACCACCCCTGCCTACCCGCCACCCCACGGATATCCCTGGTGTTGGGACAACTGCTAGGAAAGGAAGGAGGGCAGAGAAGATCAGAGGATGGGGTTTGGCCTTGTAGGAAGGGCTTCAGGAACCTTGGCGGTGGGGGGTGTGCATGGAGGTACTTAGAGGTTGGATGGAGTCAGGGTGAGGTCCCCTGCATGACTGGGAAGACCCACGAACCGCAGGGAATTGGTGAGGAGAGTCCTTTAGAGCCTCCTCAAAGTGTGGTCCCTGGACCAGCAGCATTGACATCACAAATGAGAAACTCTGAATCCCTAACTCACTAAATCTGCACCTGCATTTTTATCAAGACCCTCCAGTGATCTGTGTGCACGGGCAAGTTCTAGAAGGCTGTTCTAGAGCACAGAGCTTCTGCGGCGCCTCCAGTCCGGCTCAGGGTTCAGTAACTGCTTCATATCCAAGACTATCTCAAAGTTTCCCCAACCAGCTGCAGCAGTGCACTTGGTCGGGGGTGGGGGCGCAGGGAAGATTCCCCAGGTCCTGTCATTCTGATGTAGTAGTCTGAGGAGGACCTAGGAATCTGCATTTAAGAGCTTCCCAGTTGATTGTGATGCACAACCAGGTCTGAGACCACTGCCACCTACCATGAGCCTCCAGAATTCAACTCCAGCCAGAGGATGGGGGCAGAGGAAGAGAGGAGTGGCTCTTGGGGGTATCTGCCCCATTACCCTTTAAGTTTAGTCAGGACTCTAAAATGGAGGAAAACAGTGCTGGGGGTGTGTAAGCCCCTAAAAATGGTAACGGATCGGCCAGATGGCTCAGACTTTTGATTCCTGACCCTCCTCCCCCAACATTGCTCCAAAGGCTGACCTGGAGGTTCCAATCCCCAAATACTTCCTGCTGGAGCAGTCCACCACTGTGCGGGAGCGAGGGCTGATACTGGCCGAGATCCTGTCCAGACTGGAGCCAGTGTCCTCCCAGAAGGTAAACGGGGGTGACACCCTCCCAGACTCTTCCATACCCCATCTCCTGAAAGACTCCAGAATGCAGAGAGGCCCCTCCCTGCTCTCTACCAGAGTGCCCTTTAGGTAATCCCTGGCCTCCTTCAAGGCTGTTCTTCTGCTGATGGTAACCCTCCAACGCCAAGACAAGACTTGGCCTCCCAGATACTCTGGGAGGATGGTGTCCTGGTGCATCCTTTGATGGCTGGTCTCCCAGCGGCCCACCCTGGATGCAAGCTCTCCCTCATGTGCTCCTGCTCTTTTGCCCCTGCTCTGGCCAGAGCTTTACAGGAATGCACCGGACTGAGGCCATAATTCTAGTGCAAAAGGCAGAGCGGGCGAGGCAAGGCCGGCTTCGAGCCACCTTCATGCGAGAGATTCGAAGAGATGAGGAGCAGGATGGGAGGATTCGGGAGGATGGATGGCACAAGTTCAGTCAGGGCCAAGCAGCTGTCACCATACAGAAGGTAACCCTAGGTGCCCAGGAGGAGGGTCAGGGTAGAGTCACCTCATTCAGGAAGCCTGCTGGGCTCAGTAATTGATCACAGGAGTGCAAGTGCTTGGATTCTGTAGATTTCAGCTCACTGCAGCCTCTGTGTCCTGGGTTCAAGCGATTCTCGTGCTTCAGCCTCCTGAGTAGCCAGGACTACAATCCTTTGACAATACGCCCAGCTAATTTTTGTATTTTTAGTAGAGATGGGTTTCACCATGTTGGCCAGGCTGCTCTTGATCTCCTGACTTCAAGCGATCTACCCACCTCAGCCTCCCAAAGTGCTGGGATTACAGGCGTGAGCCACCATGCCCAGCCCCCACAACTAGATTCTAAACCAGTCAGTACTTTAATCAGTCAGCAAGCATGTATCTTACTCATTTATTATTTAATCTACATCTCTATTTTCAAAAGGGTTTGTAGTAGGATACCTTAAAAATCCCAGAAACAGAAGGATCATTAAAATTAGAGAAGAAAGATCCATAATAGCATAGAACAGAATAGATGATCACTCCAGAAACTCTTAAGACTGTTGAAAATGAGCCACTAAAATGTATCCTGCTGAGGCTGGAGCATTGCTTGAGCCCTGAGCAATGTGGCAAGACCCCATCTCTTAAAACAAGAAAGGATCCTGAGCCTCCTGGAAACTAAGACAGAGGGAAACTTGATCATGATGAATTAATTTGATAACTGATGTGATCTGAGCACCCCCAAACTCTGTGCCTTCTGGGTCACCTTTTAACATGGAAATAACATAATTTCCATAATTCTATCCCCTGTCTCACCTCACTGCAGAAAGCCCTTCTCTGCCCTAAGGTTCCCCGAGCATTCTTACCATCCTGGTTCTCACACGTCTCCTTTGCTCTGGACAGCCACTCTGCACCTCTCTGGGTCAGCCTCTGCTGTTGGCCTTGATGTGTGAACATGGCCTCTCCTACCATTCCTTAAAATGCTGCTAACACAGGCTGACTCCTGGTAGTAGTGGTTAACAGCTTGACCAGAGACTGGAGGAGCCCCGGGAAAATTCCAGTGCAGGAACAGACCACTTTCTGTTCATGCAGGTGTCACTGCCCCTAAGGCCACCGGCCCTGCTCTGTCATGGAAGCCTCTTGCCACCTTTTCTTTCCAGGAACTGTTGACCTGGGGTGGGCCCTCTTTCTCTCTCAAATCAATCTCCCCCGCCTTCCTCTCTCTCTCAAGTCCCAATACCTCAAAAACCTCTGCCTCCTAGCCCACTAGAGAAAACTTAGAACTTCCCACCAAAAGACAAAAGCAGGCAACCAACTAACAAACAATAGTGATTCTATGAAGATATATCATCTGCAAATGGGATAGATTCGTGCATTACTTATCAGTACACTGAGCATGCTGGTCTGAGGCAGGATGACTGTGTCAATGTCTGGCTTAGAAGGAGGTTCTCGACAGCAGGGCTCACTAAAGCAAAGAAGTCAAGAAGGAGGATGGACCCCAAAGATGGAGTCCCACTTCCCCTGTAGACCAAAGCAGATCATTTTGTACCTGTTGCCAGACATCAAGAGTACAGAAATATTGCGTGCTGGTCTTAGAGTCATCCAGAGCACTGAGAAAAGGAAAGAATATATGAAGGACCCAGTCATGGCAGGCCTGGTCTGTGGTGGTCACAGGAGTGGGAGGACGAAGCCCAGATGAGAAGGGCAGGAACCGGTCCCTGCTCCTGGAGGTGCCAGGAGGCAGATGGAAAGCACTGGCTGGCCCGGGCCCTGACTCTGCCTTCCTCTGCCCAGCGTCCCCACCCTCTGGCCCCACTAGCACTCAGTGATCCTGGAGTCTGAAAGTAGCTGGGCCTGGGAGAAAGAGGACGCGTCCAGCTCTGCACAGATGGGGTCTTGGGCCTGGGAGAAAGAGGACGGGTCCAGCTCTGCACAGATGGGGTCTTGGGCCTGGGAGAAAGAGGACGGGTCCAGCTCTGCACAGATGGGGTCTTGGGCCTGGGAGAGGTCATGTCCAGTCTCCGGCCTCAGTTGCCTTGGGTCAAAAATGTAGGATTAACTGAGGAGCTCCACAGTCCCTGCAGCGCCAGTGTCTATGTGCCTGGGTGGAATCAAGTATTTATTCCAACTGCTCTGGGGATTCTGAGGAGGGGGTGTAGGGAATGTGTAGGGTGCTTGAGCTCTGATCTGTCCCTCAAAAGAGATAGCAAATCAGGGTGGCGAGGGGAAGGAAGAAATCCCTGGGGGGCCCTGGGGCCAGTTGACTTGAGTGCCCACCTGAAACCACCCTGTTCCAGGCTGTTTGTGCTCAGTGTGCACCTGAGCAGGCTTGCCCAGGGCTCCTCCCCACCCCACCGGAAATCTCTAGTGTGACCCTCTCGGACCCTCTCTGAGAGACAGGCTGCTGCAGGGTGGAGACTGTGTGTCCTGTGTGTCCTGTGTGTCCCCTACATCCCTCCGCCAGGTGTGGAAAGGCTATCTGCAGAGGAAACGCACTCAGCAGGACCGGCGAATGGAGATGGAGTTCATTGGCATGGTGAGCTCAACCTGCCCACCATGGTGGGTCCTGGAACACAGGGCTGGCCAGGGCAGGGCCCCCACCCAGAGCAGTCTTCTTCCAGCCCCACAGTGCCCACGGTGCTCTCCACTCAGGCCAGGTGAACAGCCTGGGAGAGAAAGAGGCAGAAGGACAGAAAAGCCCCCTGGCCATATCCCTTCACACCCTTTTTCTTGTAGAAATCCGGCCCCTGGCAGCAGCTCACCTGTGGAGCCATGAAGGGCACTGTGTAGAGCATCCTGGACCCCATGTTCCCACCCCCAGCTGGAAGGGGCTGCAGGGGTGGACCCCAGAGGGAGGAGGCTATAAAGCCAGCAGGAGCACCCACACTGCCCCCCACAAGCCTCTGGCAGCCACGGGGAGACACCAGGGGCTGTGTTGGGTGGGGACACACTCCCCAAACCAGGGCTTTCCAGGCCATGTGCCTGTGTGCACACACGTGTGCCTGGCCAAAGTGAGTAGGCCTGGCTCCTTGAATCTGTCTATCCCCTGTTCTCTGTCCTCTCACCCAGCTGGTCTCCACTGACTTAGGAAAGGCAGGCCGAGCCTGGAGGGGTGGCCGGAGCATGCTCCCTGGGGGAAGGGCTTTGCCCCAGGCAGATCCTTTGGAGGCCTGGCTGCCAGAAGGAGCTGAGGAGGGGGCTGGGCTGGGGACTGGAGGGATTGGAGGGAAGGGAGCCTTCCCAGGTCTGGTGACATCTTGGCAGGCTGGGAGGCTACCACTGGAGGCTTGGAGCCTTGGGAGGAAGGAGGGGCCAGGGGCTGCTGTGTGGGAGTGGAGGTCAGAGACTTGTTGGGGGGCCAGAGGGCTGGACCCCCAGGAGACGAGAGCAGGCCGAAAGAGGCAGGGGTTGGCTTCAGCAGGGAGGGGTCCGTGCACGGCAGTGGGTGAGGAATGAGCCCGGCCGCCCGGGCCTATCAACAGTGTGAGCTCAGCGTTTTCAGTAATTGTCTCTGCGCAGAGTGATATTTAAAATACATTTGGGAGCCAATGAGGCGGGAAAGTGGCTGCGAGAGCGGCTGCCAACTCGGCCGCGGGGCGGGGGTGCAGGCGGGGGCTGGGGCCGGAGGCTCCAGGGGAGGGTGTGCTGGGGAAATCGGGCAGGGGACAGCCTGGATGCATCTAGCAGACTCATTATTAGAGTAATTTACACAGACGAATTCGGCTCCAAACACAGTTTCTCCCGATGCAGGCATGCCCGTTGTTCCGTGTGGGTGTGTGTGTGAGGCCTTGTGTGAGCGTGGTGTTGGGGAAGGAGTGGGTACAGGCGTGTGTGCCCGAGGCTGGGGGCTGCATCCAGACTGGTTGCTGGTTCCTCCCACTCCTGAGCCCCTCAGCCTCTCTTCCACTCCCCCAGCTCCCCTCACCCAACCAGGTAGAGCACCTGAGCATCATCTCCCAGCCATGCCTCGTGGAGGATGTCCAGAGGCTCCGCCAGATGGAGAAAGAGGAGGAGTTCCGGGCAGCAATGGTGAAGGCCCATGATTCTCTGGTAGAGACAGAGGGGCCTGACATGAAGGAGAAAATGAAGGAGCAAATCCGACAGTGGTTTATCGAGTGCCAGTCAGTGTCCTCAGCTGACCCTACCCTCCATCCTTCATTCCCTTCGCTCAGGGTCCCTCAGGGCTGCTCCTGCCCCATCCCCTGCATGGGTTCTGCCTTCTAGTCCAGATGGGGCCTTTTCTCCTCTACCCCCAGGTCCCCAACACACTGCTGACCCTCTTGGTTTCAACAACTTTGGGCCCCCAGTGTACAGGACCATCTCCACACCTGACTTCTCAATTCCACAAGGGAGAGAAAGTGCCAGAATAGGGTGGGGAAAGCACCCATGGATGCCCCCTGAGTGATCTGTCCTCCTGTTTGTAACAATCCATTTCTCCCACCTCTCCCTCCGTCACCCTGGTCCTTTATTTTTCTCTGGTGTTCTCCATCCATCCACCCACCCTTTTATCCGCCTCTCCATCTACCTATCCATCCATCCACTCACCCGTCTACCCAACTGTCTATCTATCCTTCCATCTGTCCATCTGCCCATCCACCTACCCACCCTTCTACCTACCTCTCCATCTATCTACCCATGCATCTGCCCATCTGCCCACCCACCCTTCTACCCACCTCTCCATCTGTCTATCCATCTGTCCATCCACCCACCCACCTACCCACCTCTCCATCTCCCCATCCATCCATCCACACATCTACCCACCCTTCTACCCACCTCTCTGTCTATCCTTCCATCTGTTCATCCACCCACCCACCCTTCTACCCACCTCTCCATCTATCCACTCATGCATCTGCCCATCTACCCACTCACCCTTCTACCTACCTCTCCATCTATCTATCCATCTGTCCATCCATCCACCAACCCTTCTACCCACCTCTCTGTCTACCTATCCATCCATCCATTTGTCCATCCATCTATTCATCTTTCTGTCCAATCATCTTTTGTTCACTTAGTGACCTTACTGGCCGGTTCCCTGATTATCCAGATGCGTCTTCAGGTGGATCCTACTCAATCTTTGCAGACAAAACGCCAGAACAGGTACCCTGTTGGAGGTGGGGCAGATGGTTTTTTGTGGCAGGTGGAGCCTGAGGCTACAGAGAATAGCGAGTGGGGTGGGGTAGGGGGTCAGCCTCAATGGAGGCAGAGGTGGCTGGGGGAAATGCAGGCAGCTAGAAAGACGGCATGGGGAAGAGGAGCAAGGAGCAGCTGCGGCTGGAGCAGGCATTGTGGCTGGGAAAGGAAGGATGTCTGGGTAGACTGCAGTGGCTCCAGATCCCGTGGCCCAAGAGAGAACAGTGGCTCTCACCAGAACGCTCCTTCTTGGGCACCCTTTCTCCTTGGACCCCAAAGGAGTCTCTGCATGCTCAGCTGTCCCGACCCCATCAGTTACTCTAGGCCTAGGGAATCGTTGGTTCACCCCAGTATCAGGCCCTGAGCCTGAGAGATCGCCAGCTCTCTTCTGTAAAACCCAGGGCTCTCTTCTGTAAAATCCCCTTGATCTTCTCTGAAATGTCTTGGGTCATTGGTCACAGGTGAGAATGGAACTGGAAATGCAGATGCAAGAGAACAGAAAAAAGGAACAAGAGAAGAGCAAGGAAAAAGGAAAGGATGAAAAAGAGAAGAAGAAAGGAAAGGAAGAAAAGGCCAAGAAGGGGGTAAGATACCTCTCGGATGCATGGTGTGAGGGACAGGGAGGAGAAGGTGTGGGGGAACTCGTGGTAGGAAGATGGGTTCAGGTAAGATTAGGGCCAGAGTCTGTGCTAGGCAGAGGTGAGGAAGTCAAGGTCAAAGAATGTTTCTATTCTAGGAAGTGGATGCGGTGTTGCAAGTGTTGCCATCCAAATGTATCCCTATGATCTGTGCCGGGCATGAAGAATACTTAAGTAAGAGGGGAGATGGCTGGGGAAGAGTGTCTGTGCCTTGTGGGACCTGGGGCCCTGGGTCCTGGAGAAAGTGGGTGTCTGCACACGGACCATGAAGTGGCAGTGTGGGTGTGTAGGCAAAGGGGACAACACCAAATGAGGAGAGGGAGGTATGGTGTGCTTCTTCGGGTGGGGGCGTTACAGATTTGGGTCTGAATTCTGTGGCCACAGGCCTTGGGGTCAAGCCTATTTGCCGTCTGGGTAGAAGCAATGCCAGGCTGGTGGGTGGGGACAAGGCAACCAGCCAGGGCCTGGCTCCTGACCTGTGTGCACACATGTGTCTGTGTGCACGTATGTGTGCATGTGCTTGTGCACGCATGAATGCATGTGTGTATGCACCCGGCACTCTGACCTTCACGCATCCATCCATTCTCTGCGGTCAGATACATGGAAGAACCGGTGTGAGAGCATACACCCCAGTCAGAATTATGACTCCGAGACCCTCCGGGAGGAGAAGAGGAAAGAGGTGGAGCTGGAGATCCGGATACAGGTGTGAGCACAGGGTCAGGGCTTCCCTGCAGGCCACCACCCTGTACCCTCCCCCATAACCCACATTTCCAGCCAGATTCAGGCTCCTCCCCACCCATTTCTCTGCCTCTCTCTTGTCCTGAACACCCAACCCCAGTCCCCAGCTCATCCTCGGTAGACTTTGCTGCCTCCATGCATGGTCCTAGCTCCACCTGCTGCCCACGTCAGTTCCCACCTTCCTCTGCCTCCCCCGGTCCCACTTTCTTCCAGGGCTAATGCAGCAGGGGTGTGGAGGGTATGGGAGGGGCTCGGAGCCAGGGTGTCCACACCCCCCCACCATCCTCAGGAACCCTCTGACGACGTGTCCCACCCATGCCGTGGGCTTCAGGAGTGTTCAGTCATGTGATCTTTCACACAACCCATGAGGAAAGTACCGTGGTTTTCCTGATGGTACACACGGGAAACTGAGGCTAAGCGGTTATGCAATCATTTAGGTCACAAAGACCTCAGCGGGGGATCTTCGGTTTGAATTCCATCTGGGGGCTTCTCCGCATGTTGAAGGCTGTTAAGAACAGGGCTCCTGAGAGAGCAGGAAGAGGATTAGGCCTGGGTGTGAACAGGTGCCAGGAGGGAGGGAGGAATGCAGAGGAATGTTCGGGAAGGCATCAGGGCTGTCCCTACTGCCTTCATCGGGCTCACTGGGCTCTTCTGTAAGGCTCCTCCCCTCCTTCCCATCCCTGCCTGCCTGCTCCTCTCCCACCTGTCCTCCCAGCCCCAGGCCACCCCGCCACACCTCGGCTGTCTCCCCTAGGTGGATGAGCTGATGCGTCAGGAGCTGAGGAAGCTCCGTCTGGCTGTGGACAAGGAGGAAGAAAGACCCCTGAGGGCTCCAAAGGCAAGATGAGGGGCTGGGGCTGGGCAGGGGAGGGCACACAGGGAGGCAAGGAACAGGGCACAGTGACCTACGCACTCGTTTCCAACCAGAAAACACCTGGGAAGAAAACTGGGAAAAAGAAGGAAAAAGATCTGACCTCAGACAGGTAGCAGGACCCTGTCGTGCCCACTTTGCATGGTGGTGGTGGTGGAGTAAGTCCCAGTCCAGGGACCTGACTGCAGGTCCTGGCTCTGCTGCTGTGAGACCTTGGGAAAGTCGCTTTCCCTCTCTGACTCCCTGGCCTCGTTCACCAAGTACCTGCCCTGCCAAACTCAGGTGATAGCCGTGGGGATCAAGCAAAGGCACAAGAAAGGGCTCTGTACGTGAGATGCAGAGCGAGATCTCAATGGAGTTTATAATCAGGTCATTGCTCTCCACTTCCAGATCCTTCCTCCAACCTTTGCCTTAACCAGCTCTGTCTCTGCCAAAGTCATTTCCCCCTGGACTTCCCACTCTGAGACATTAAGGGACTTGTCAGTGGTCCCTTCCTGCTGACTTGTCTGGTAAAGAGAGCTCACAAGCGACTTGACGTCAGCTGCTTGAATTTAATGTCTGTCTCTCCCAGGAGCACTCACGTCTTAAATGTAGTTTCTAAGAAGAGGGCAATGCTTAACTCAAATGACTGGATTTCTAATGGTGGACCTTTGGTCAGGGGGCAGACTAATGAGTGTCACAGAGGCCCCTGTCCCCCTCACACCCCTCTTACAGAGCACCCACTGGGGGAGGCTTGCCTCCTGGGACAGTGATTTGGTGCCATACCTGATTCTGCCTGTTTGCAGGCACTGTAGATGTTTTTGACCACAGAATGTTGTACAGGAGAACCACTGATACCCTGTCTTCATGACAACAGCCCCCATCTCTGCCTCCATTTCCCTGTGTTCTCACTTGCTAATGTCCCTTGTGGTGGTGGGGGTCTTCCTGTGCCATCCTCTGCCAGGTCTGTGGAGTCTCTGTACGAAGAGCTTGTTATTTCTGGCCTTCTAAGGAAGAGTGAGTCAGTAGCATTGAAAGACTACATAGGTGAGACCCCTCCCAGAATGCCTGTTCCCACTCTGTGGCCAGGTGCCAAGGCTCCCCTACCCCCATCCACCAGCCCCGCCTTCCCTGTGGCTGATCACCTGATTGCCACTCGGAGAGTGTGCCTGTCACTCAGTGGCTGCCTATCGCCACAGGTGACTTCCTGTATCTTGGATCCACTCTGAGTTTGGTGAAGAAGTTGCCCATGCCATCCCTGTTTGACATACGACAGAATGTGGCTTTGTATGCGGTCCTTCGGCTTGGTGAGAGGCTCTGGGGGTGTGAGGAGCCAGCTCTGGGCAGGCAGCCCTTGGGGTGAGGGCTGGGGTCAGGGTAGGGTGGCTGAGGTGGACATGTCCAGCCTGGGCCTCCAAGCCCCAGGTCCTCCTGCCCTGCCCAGGCCCTGCTGGAGGTCACACCCAGATTGGGCCACTCCAGAAATCAGGTGGGCCCTTGACCTGCTGAAAGAGCCCACGCTGCCAGCCCCTTACTCAATCCCAAGGGACAACCCAGGGTCTGTTCTGCTCCCAGAAGACCACCAGCCCTATACCCCCTGAGCTGAAGAGCTTTCTGAAGTGATTTATCCCATGCCTTCCTTTTTTTTTTTTTTTTGAGATAGAGTCTCAGTCTGTCGCCCAGGCTGGAGTGCAGTGGCACAATCTCAGCTCACTGCAAACTCCACCTCCCGTGTCCCGTGCCTTTCAGTTCCACCACTCATAATCCAGGAGTGGAAGCAGATGGAATGGAAAACAGAAAGGGCATTAGTGGGGGTAGCAGGCTCCTCCCAGACCCATGCACAACTCCTCATACTGGAGACTCATAAGCCATTCAAAATTTCCTGCTGCCACTCCCGGCTCCCAGACCTAGTGGACTAGGGGACCTGCTGGTGTTGGGGAAGGTAGTATGCCCTGTGATCTGCACCTCCTCCCCCAGCCCTAGGCCCTTGGCCTGACCTTACGCAGTCATCTCCAGCCCTGATTCCTGCTGCTGACCTGTTGCCTGGCTCTGGCCCATTTCCTTGCTCTCAGGCTCCCCGGATATCCACATCATGGCCCCACTCATCCGCTCCATCCTCCTGGTGGGCCCCTCTGGCATGGGGAAGAAGATGCTGGTCAAGGCAGTGTGCACAGAAACTGGCGCCAACCTGTTCGACCTGTCGCCGGAAAACCTGCTGGGCAAATATCCTGGCAGGAATGGGGCACAGATGATGGTGCATATAGTCTTTAAGGTCCGGAGCCCCCAGCTTTTGGCATTTGCGGTTCTCAGACCTGTGGCAACAAAGGAGGGGGGCTTTGAGGTCACGTCACCCATCAGCCTACTGGGTATGATTTCAGGTGCTGAACTGGTGAGGTCTCCCTACCAACCGGGCTAGGAGCTTGGGTTCCCCCTGCAGCCCCTGTGGTGGGGGAATGAAGGGAAAAGGGAGGACACAGAGCAGTTTCTTTTCATGGTAGGATGAGACTGAATATGCAGCTCCCCCATGGGGGGCAGTGACTCAGTTTACCCTGAGGTGTGAGATATGTGCAGCAGCAGGCTGGGAGGTGGGACTTCCAGGTGTGGGGAGTGGAGACGGGGCTCCAAGGTCAGCCCCTGCTCAAGGCCGGCCCTCATCCTGCCTTCTGACCAGCAGGGACATGACCCTTCTCCAGAGACATCTAACATCTGATTTCTACATTCTGACCCATCCAGGTAGCCCGACTCCTACAGCCCTCTGTGATTTGGATTGGAAATGCTGAGAAGAATTTCTATAAGAAGACCCCCAAAGAAGACAAGGAGGTGAGGGAGCATGGATGTGAAGGCCGTGTGGGCAGGTAGCGTGAGCTGGGGCTAAGCTGGAAGGCCTGGGCTTGTTCCAGTCGCTCCAAACCCCAACCACTGGGGCCTTGCACATGCCCCTCTACTCCTCACACCTAGTTTCCTTGTCTCAAAGCAGGATGGGCAGCCTCCTCATCCCGCTAGGGCTGAGGTGAGGCTGAGGGTGGGGTGGGCTCTGAGAACTTGGGAGCCCCATACGCTGGGCCACTGTGCCCCAGCCCCACCACTCCTCCCTCCTCCCCTGGAGCAGATGGACCCAAAGCGGATAAAGAAGGACCTCACCAAGGCCTTGCGGCTGCTGACTCCCGGAGACCGTGTGATGCTGATTGGGACAACCTCCCGGCCACAGCTGGCCGAGATGCGGGGTCTGTGCCGGGTCTACGAGCGGATCCTCTTCATGCCCCGGCCTGACTACGCATCCCGCTATGGTGAGGCCTGGGGATGTGGGGACGGCTGCGCCTACCAAAGCCTGCCCACCTCCCGCCCCATACCCCATTGCTGCTGCGAGCCCTCACCCCCACAGCCCGGTCTTCTGGAAGGGCTGCTGGACAAGCAGCCCAGTGGCCTGGGTCCTGGCTTTGGCTCTGTGGACGCGAGCAGGTGGTCTATGTCCTCCGAGGCTCTAATTCCTCGGGTTGAGTTGGGAGGATGACCCTTGCCTAGCTTGAGATCCAGTACCTTCCCTGGGGAAGGGGAGCTGATGGATGTGGAGCTGCTCCCCGGAGCACAAAACTCCTTCCAGATCCAGGCGGGGGCTGCTCAGGCCTTGTTGCCCCTCCCTGGTGCCCACTGCCCCTCCAGGCCCCATGTCTTCCACATGCCTGCAGTGCTCTGGAAGCGTATGATAGAGGCCCGGGGCATCCAGCCGACCCAGCACCTGGACATCAGTGCCCTAGCCAAGGTCTCCGATGGCTACACGCCGGGTCACATTCTCCAAGCCATCCAATCGGTGCTGAGTGAGCGGCGGTTCCTGCAACTGTCCAAGCGGCCCCTGGTGGCCTCTGAGTTCCTGGGACAACTGGTGAAGCTGGATCCAGTGTACAGGGAGGAGGAGGAGTCCCTGAAGGTGAGGTGGCAGGGCCAGGGGCTGTGGGTAAGCAGCGCCCTTGGGGAGTCAGCCCCCTGAAGCACAACTCGGACCCCTCTCTCTGCTCCCACAAATTACCAGAAGACAATCAGTGGAAATGTGTGTGGAGCTCAGCTGGGAAGGGAGCAGGAAATCACCAGGAAATGCCAAGGCTTCGGGGCCGTCCCACCTGGTTTCCCTGAGGGTGGGAGCTTGCAAGAACCACCGAGGTATCAGGAGCCCTTTGTGGGTTCTGGTAGCAGCTGCCACCCACCTTTCCCACCCCCGAGTCAGTGCCCCTGCCAAGGATGGCCTTGGGAATGCAGGAGAGAGGGCTGCAGGTGTGGAGGGAAGAGGGCTTGCCCACTAAGAACGGCTGACATTGTACCTGAAGCATTTGGTGGGGAGCAAGGGAAACCCCAGCACTAATAGGACCCCCAAACCCAGGAGGAGAGGAGAAGAGGCTGCTGAGGAAACAATCTGTAAAAGGGGGAGGGGTGAGGTCAGGATGGGTCTGAGGGCCTTACCACTCCTGTACCCACCAACCCAGGACTGGTACTTCAAGACCCCACTGGGCAAGAAGAGCATGAAACACAGGATGGACCAGTTGGAGGCCGAGGAGGCCAAGCTGGACAAGGAGAAGAAGAAAAGGAAGTGATGGCTAAGGCTTGCGGGCACCTGAGATTAGTGGCGTGGGACAGGGCAGTGGCCCAAGGGTAAAGGGATGGGGCAGAGGCATAAATGCCCAGATGACTTGGGAACAAACTCTTCTTGTCCATCCATGTCCGTGTCTTCCCACCCTTCCCTCTGTGCCCCCACCTGTGCCTGGCGCTGTCTAGCCCACACCTCTCTCCTGGGCCCTGGCCCTTGCCAGCTCACTGCCACCTCCTTGCTCTGCCTCCTAGATCCCTGTCCTCAGCCCCCACTTCCAGGTCTTCATCTCCTTGTCATTGTCCTATCCTGGCTCCCTGAATCTCTTCCTCCTTGAGGTATTTAAGGGAGAAAAAATAGGAAGAGGAGAGAGGGAAAGAGAAGAGTAGGGAGAAGGAAGGTCTGCAGTCAGATAGAAAAAGCACAGGTCTGGAAGTTAACTGTCCCTGGTTCTAAATGCACTTGGCACTAACTCCCTGTGTGACCTGGAGAGTGCTTTCCTGTCTCTGGGCCTCAGTTTTCTTACTTATAAAGCAGAGAGAGATTGGACCAGGAATTTCTAAGGTCCCTTTTACTCTAGGGTTTGACTATTGTAGCAAAAGTGTCTGGGAAGTCAGGGCAGAGAGGTGCTTGGGGAGTGGCGGGGGCAGGATGGGAAGCAGGGCTCAGCAGAGGTGTGGGGAAGCGGTAGGGCTTTGTGACTAGGGTAAGGGCTGCTAGTAGACCCAATGCTGCAATGGACATGGGAGAGCAGCATTGGATCGACCCAGTTTCTCAGAGTGGCCTTCATCTCTTTCCTCTAAAGACCTGTCCCCTGGCACTCTGCCTGCCCCAGCTGTGCACTGCATCCTCTGACCACAGCCTAACCCTCAGGGCTCAATGGGATAGAGCCTCCTGCCCCTGGGGTGGGAGTCCATCTGTGGGTTTCCCCTTGCTGGGGAGGGAACAGCTCAGGGGAGAACGGGGTCAGAGAACTTAGGGAGCAGGGGCAACCATACCACCAAGGGCTGGTGAGCCCCAGAGTGTTCTCTTGAAAGAGGCAGACCCATGGACCATGTACACAGTGTGTGGATGAAGGCCAAGGTGTGTCCACAGGTAGTAAGAGACAACAGGAGACCTGAAACTATAAAACCCCTAGAAGAAAACATAAGGGAAAGCTCCATGATATTGGTCTGGGCAGAGATTTCTTGGATATGACCTCAAAAGCACAGGCAATGAAAGCAAAAGTAGATGAATGGGATTGTACCAGACTAAAAGGTTTCTGCACAGCAGAGGAAATGACAGAGTGGAGAAACAATCTACAGACTGGGAAAAAAATATTTGCAAATCAAACATCGGATAAGGGGTGAATATCCAAACTACACAAGGAACTCAAACTACTAAATAACAACAACAACAACAAAATACCCCATTAAAAAATGAACAAAGGACTTGAACAGACACTTCTCAAAAGAAGACATACAAATGGCCAACATATATTGGAAAATATGTTCAACATTAGTAATCAGAGAAATGTGAATCAAAAACCATAATGAGATATTATCTCACACCTGTTAGACTGGCTATTATTGAAAAATGAAAGATAAGTGTTGGCAAGGATACGGAGAAAAGGGGACTCTGCATGGTTGGTGGTGTTGTAAATTAGTACCATTTTGAAAAATAGAATGAAGGTTCCTCAAAAAACTAAAACTAGAATTACCTTATGATTCAGCAATCCCACTACTGGGTATATACCCAAAGGAATTGAAATCAGCATGCAGAAGAGGGGTTTGCACCCCCACGTCCACTGCAGCACTACTCACAATCGCCAAGAGATGGAAACAACTGGTGTCCATCAATAGATGAATGGATTTTTAAATGTGGTGTATCTGGAGGACATTGTGCTAAGTGAAATAAGCCAGGTGCAGAAAGACAAATACCGCATGATCTTGCTTATTGTGGAATCTAAAAAAGTCAAACTCATAGAAGTAAAGGGTAGAATGGTGATTCCCAGAGGCTGGGGGCTCGAGGGAGGTGGACAGGGAAAGGGAAAGGGAAGACATTGGTCAGTGGGTATGATGTTACAGGTAAATAGGATAAGTTCAGGTGTTCTATTGCACAGCAAGGCGACTGTAGTGAATAATGATGTACATTTCAAAATGGCTAAAAGAGGATTTTAAATGTTCTCACCACAGATAAATGGTAAATATCATTTGATAGATGTGATAATTACCCTGATATGATTACACATTATATACATGTATCAAAATATTATAGCCCCATAAATATATACAATTATTTGTCAATTAAAAATGAAACTTTTTAAAAAGCAATTGATTTAAAAAAATTTTTTTAAGCCAGCGTGAGCCAAAGGGGCAAGACCAATGGGGCTGGAGCACCTCAAGCCCATGGTGGGCAGTGGTGGGTCAGAGCTGAGCCCGAGGGCCTGGTTTCTCATCTTCTTTCTCTCTTTTTTTCCTTTTGATCCACCCGGCCCCCAAACAAAAGTCAGTGCCTGAGTACACAGAGACATTTCTCCTTTCTCACTCTCTAGTGAAGAGACCCCATGTAACCACAGCAGGGGAGAGATGCCACCCAAGGTCATCCAGGGAGATGGGGGGGTTGGCATCAAGGACGAGCATGGGGAGTTTCTGTGGCTTGCCTGTGGGTTACGCTCTGTTACTCAGGCACACGTCTGTCTAAGGGAGCCCCCTGAGGGGTGCCTCACACAGCGAGGGCAATCTGTGTCACTACTGTGAACTCCTCCCTTGGTTTGGGAGTGGGAAGGTGCAGGGCTAACAGATGACATTTGGAAGGGCAGGAAATATTATCTGGCACCCACAGGCCTTCCCAGTGGGATCAGAGCCCAGGCAGCTGGAGGCCGATTTGGTGAACAAGAAAGAGCTCAAGGCCCTGGGTTCCAGTCCTGGCTCTGCAACAAGCTCTCTGCGTGATCTTGGGAAATTCACTTCCCTTTAATGCCGAGATGACGGACTGGGCAGCATGGTCCGGGTGGTCCCTTTCCACCCTGAGGTCATACAGCCCTGGGGTGAAGCTCAGGGTTGGCGGGCTCAGGCCTCACTTGTTCTCCTGCCCCTCCCTAATTCCCCCACCCGGCCTGACTGACAGCTGGGCCAGTCAGGGCTATTTATGGCTTTGCCTGATGTTGTGCTCCCCTGCGCCTCCCATGCTGGGCCCCACCCAGCTCGGGCCCAGCACCCACCTGCCCAGTCCACCAGCAACATCGCTGGGAGTCGTGCTGCTTTGGCTCTCCCAGAACAAGCCATGCCCTGGGGAAAGAACTCCTCTCCCCACTGGGGACACCATCTGGGGTGCCTTCCCTCCGCCCCGGCCTGCCGGATCTGGAGGCCCCACTCCCGCCCAGCCTGGGAGCCCCCTCGGCCATCACCACTGCTCTGCCAAGACATGGCCCTGCAGAATGCCCTCTACACCGGGGACCTGGCAAGGTTGCAGGAGCTGTTCCCCCCGCACAGCACAGCCGACCTGCTGCTGGAGAGCCGGGCCGCAGAGCCTCGCTGGAGCAGCCACCAGAGGGGTGAGGGGCATCTGGGGGTTGCTGAGAACCAGGGGGCTGGGCTGACTGCCTCGGCCACAGAGGTCCTAAGGGCTTGAGTGAAAGGAGAAGCCCCCGGCTGTTTCTCCCCGACCTCAAAGCTTGCCCAATAGCCTACACCTTGGCCCAAGAACACAGTCATGTGGAGCCCAGAATAGCTCCTGCTGGATGCGTGGCCAGGTCAGCCTCGGAGCGTGGGACACAGGGGCCTTCTGTCTGTCTGTATTTCCCTCCTGCTCTCTCTCTCTCTCTCTGCCTTTGGCATATACCTCTCCTCCTCCCCACTCCCCTTTCCCTGCCCACATGCTCATGAGTTGGTCTCCAGAAGAGTGCAAGGGGCAGGGAGAGCCCCTCGATGACAGACACCCCCTCTGTGCCAGGCTGGTGGAGAAGCCCAGCAGAGGGTCTGAGGAGCACCTCAAGTCTGGCCCGGGACCCATCGTCACCCGCACAGCCTCAGGACCTGCCCTTGCCTTCTGGCAGGCAGTGCTGGCTGGGGACGTGGGCTGTGTCTCCCGCATCCTCGCGGACTCCAGTACTGGCCTGGCTCCTGATTCCGTCTTTGATACCAGCGACCCAGAGCGATGGAGGGATTTCCGCTTCAACATCCGTGCTCTGAGTACGGGCCGGGGCACTGGGGGCTCTCAGTGGGAGAGAGGGGAGGCTGCAGATGGAGCTCTGGGCTCCCTCTTCCTGCCTCTGCCCACCTCACCCCATTGGCTGGAAGGTCTCTGCCTTCCCTGGGGATCTGAGGCCCACGTCTCCCCTCCCTAGGACTCTGGTCTCTGACATACGAAGAGGAGCTGACCACCCCACTGCATGTGGCAGCCAGCCGTGGCCACACGGAAGTCCTGCGGCTGCTGCTGAGGCGGCGAGCAAGGCCAGACAGTGCCCCTGGGGGCCGCACCGCCCTGCACGAGGCCTGTGCTGCAGGCCACACTGCCTGTGTTCATGTGCTGCTGGTGGCAGGAGCCGACCCCAACATCGCTGACCAGGATGGGAAACGCCCCCTGCATCTCTGCCGGGGGCCTGGCACCCTTGAGTGAGTGACCCCTCACCCCAACCCCCAGTTCCACTCTGAAGGGAAGCAAAGAGGCCTTCTCAGGGAGGATGGGGGAAAATGTCAGGGACCTGGGACAGAGCAGTCCAGGCTTGGGGCGCGGGTCAGGGTGCAATTACTTCCCAAGCCATCCACCCGTTGACCCCATGAACTTTGGAGTGGCCTGGACTTTGGACAGTTTTCTGGTCTCCCAGGGGTGGAGGGAGGCTGTGGCAGGGGTGCAGTTGCATGGCCCGCATTGGGAAATTGCCTGGCTCCATTATGGGGAGGTGGTGTTGCTTAAAATTTTTGAAAACACTTTCTGAGCTTATCCTATGTTCCAGGCACTGTGCTAAGCACAACAGCAACTAAGTCCCTGAGGCCCTGCCCTCAGGGAGCTTACTGTCCAGTGATCCAGACAGGGAGTAGAGGATGGTGGCCCCAGTGAGGACCTGCCTGGGTCCCTCTGGGTAGGGTCTGGTTTTCCAAGACAGGTCTAGAATCTCCATATTGGTAGGGCACCCTCAGATCATGGGCTCAAGGGACTCTCACTAACTAAACTCCCAAGAAACTGATGAATACACCCAAATGTGCCAATGTATCATTTATTGTAGGGAATAGTCCTTTGCAGTGACATAAATAATTGCAACCCAAGTGTAAGGAACGTTGTAGGATGGGATCCCAATTACAATTTTGTGAACTAACTCTACATCCTATAGAGGCCCTCTCTCTACTGACTGCACACCTGCAGGTCTTGTCTCTTGCCTCTGAAAGGTGCCAAATTATTGACCCTGGGGTTCTCCTTTCATGGACCCTCTCCTTCTTGTTAATCTCATCAGCCTCTAGAGGATTCCACAGGCTTAATCATACTATGGTTGAAGATGTGTTCTTTACTAGCGTGGCCCAGTGGAAACCTAATGTGAGCCATATATGCAATTTACAGTGTTCTAGCAGCCCTATAAAAAAAATGACAAATGGCCGGGCACGGTGGCTCACACCTGTAATCCCAGCACTTTGGGAGGCTGAGGCAGGTGGCTTGCTTGAGGCCAGGAGTTCGAGACCAGCCTGGCCAACATGCCCAAACCTTGTCTCTACTAAAAATACAAAAATTAGCTGGGTGTGGTGGCAGGCGCCTGTAATCCCAGCGACTCGGGAGGCTGAGGCAGGAGAATTGCTTAAACCTGGGAGGTGGAGGTTGCAGTGAGCGGAGATTAGATTGCGCCACTGCACTCCAGCCTGGGAGACAAAGTGAGACTTTGTCTCACAAAAAAAAAAAAAAAAAGACAAATATGTAAAATTAATTTTCAAAATGGTGGTAAAATATACATGAAATTTGCCTTTGTAACCATTTTTTATTTATTTATTTATTTTTTGAGACGGAGTCTTGCTCTGCCGCCCAGGCTGGAGTGCAGTGGTGCGATCTCGGCTCACTGCAAGCTCCGCCTCCCGGGTTCACGCCATCCTCCTGCCTCAGCCTCGCGAGTAGCTGGGACTACAGGCCCCCGCCACCATGCCTGGCTAATTTTTTGTATTTTTAGTAGAGACGCGGTTTCACAGTGTTAGCCAGGATGGTCTCAATCTCCTGACCTCGTGTTCTGCCCGCCTCGGCCTCCCAAAGTGCTGGGATTCCAGGCACGAGCCACCGTGCCCGGCCTTTTGTAACCATTTTTAAGCGTACAGTTCGATGGCATTAAGCACATTCATGTTGTTGTTCAACCATCGCCACCATCCATCTCCAAACTTTCTCATCTTCCCAAACTGAAATTCTAACCCCATCAAACACTAACCACCCACCCCACCCTGTCTCCCAAGCCCCTGGCAATCACTATGTTACTTTCTGTCTCTGAATGTGAACACTCTGGGGACCTCACATAAGTGGAATCATGTGGTATTTGTCCTTTTGTAACTGGCTTATTCCACTTAGCATGATGTCTTCAGACTTCACCCATGTTGTCCCATGTTTCAGAATTTCCTTCCTTTCTTTTTTTTTTTTTTACTCTGTCGCCCAGGCTGGAGTGCAGTGGCGTGATATCGGCTCACTGCAAGCTCCGCCTCCCGGGTTCACGCCATTCTCCCGCCTCAGCCTCCCGAGTAGCTGGAACTACAGGCGCCCACCACCGCACCCGGCTACTTTTTGTATTTTTTAGTAGAGACGGGGTTTCACCGTGTTAGCCAGGATGGTCTCGATCTCCTGACCTTGTGATCCACCCACCTCGGCCTCCCAAAGTGCTGGGATTACAGGTGTGAGCCACCACGCCCGGCCGAATTTCCTTCCTTTCTAAGGCTGAATAACACTCCTTTATATGTGTATAGCACATTTTTATTGAATGTTTATTCATTCACCCGTTGAGGGACACTTGGGTTGCTTCCACATTTTGGCTATTGGGAGTAATCCTCCTGTGGACATGTGGGTACAAATATCTTTGAAGCAGGTTAAATTAATTATATTTTATTTAACACAACATATCCAAAGTGTTATCATGTTGACATGTAATCAATATAAAATTGAGGCCGGGCGCAGTGGCTCACGCCTGTAATCCCAGCACTTTGGGAGGCCGAGCCGGGTGGATCACCTGAGGTCAGGAGTTGGAGACCAGCCTAGCCAACATGGTGAAACTCTGTCTCTACTAAAAATACAAAAATTAGCTGGACATGGTGGCGGGCACCTGTAATCCCAGCTACTCGGGAGGCTGAGGCAGGAGAATCCCTTCAACCCCGGAGGTGGAGGTGGTAGTGAGCCAAGATTGTGCCACTGCACTCCAGCCTGGGCGAAAGAGGGAAACTCCGTCTCAAAAAAACAAACAAGCAAACAGACAAAAATTAGCCAGGCATGGTGGTGCACACCTGTAATCTCAGCTACTCAGGAGGCTGAGGTAGGAGGATCATTTGAGCCTGTGAGGCGGAGGTTGCAGTGAGTGGAGATCACGCCACTGTATTCCAGCCTGGGTGACAGAGAGAGACCTTATCTCAAAAGAAAAAAAAAGAGAGAGAGATAGGGTCTCTCTCAGTCACCTAGTCTGGATGTCCAGTGGTACGTTCATAGCTCACTGCAGCCTCAAACTACTTGGCTCAAACAATCCTCTCACCTCAGCCTACAGAGTAGATGGGACTACTACAGGCCCATGCCACCATTCCCAGCTAATTTTTTGTGGAGATGGGTCTCACTTTGTTGCCCAGGATAGTCTTGAACTCCTGGGCTAAAGTGATTCTCCACTGCACCTAGCCAGCTCTGTTTCTGAAGAAGAAGAAGAAAAAAAGGCAAGCATATAACACACCGCATCTCAGTTAGGATTAGCCACATTTCAAGAACTCGATAGCCACAGGTGGCTAGTGGCTACCACTGGATAGTGAGGTTCCACATAATCCCACATTTTTAGTTCTGACCATGTTCCCACCAGCCTCCCTGAGATCACACCCAGTGATAATCCTTCCTTCCTTTGTGAGTAAACAAATGTATTTTAAAATTATTATGGAGACTTTTAAAGATATAGAAAGTCAGACAGGATAATGAAATGAGCTCCCACAATCCATCACCCTCTATACCTCCCACTCCCCCTGCCAAGTGTCGTCATTTTGAGCCCTTACGATGACAGGTTTTTGGGGGTCGTCTCACGTGCTGCTCACAACCACCTCGGAAGGTGGAGCTGTTATAATTATCCCCATTCTACACACGAGGGAACAGGAGCTCAAAGAGGCCAAGTCCCGTTAGCCCTGAAGTGAGGCACACACGTTGCTGTGACTCCCTGTGCTTCTTGCCATCTTGGAGTAAATCCAGTTGGCCAATTTCAGTCTTTTTTATTTTTTATTTTTCTATTTTGAGAAGGAGTCTCACTCTGTCACCCAAGCTGGAGTGTAGTGGCATGATCTCGGCTCACTGCAGTCTCCACCTCCCAGGTTCAAGCGATTCTCCTGCCTCAGCCTCCCAAGTAGCTGGGATTACAGGGGCCCACCACTACACCTGGCTAATTTTTGTATCTTTAGTAGAGACGGGGGTTCACCGTGTTTGCCAGGCTGGTCTCAAACTCCTGACCTCAGGTGATCCACCTGCCTTGGACTCCCAAAGTGCTGGGATTATAGGCATGAGCCACCATGCCCAGCCAATCAGTCTTGTTCTTTATCCCACTGCCCCATTTCCATGTGTGCCCACTGTCAGGCCCCACGCCCCCTTCCTCCTCCAGTCCCAGCATGCAGATCCCCCAACAGTCCTGTTGCCCCTGAACCCAAATAGCAGCCCTACCCCTACTAGCCATGTCAACTTGCATGAGATCCTCAAACCTCAGTTTCCTCCTCTGTGGCATGAGTGCCTTAAGAGAGCCTACCAAGGGAATGTAGTGAGGATGAAATTAGCTACAACACGTAAAACCCTTAGCAGGCGCCTGTTCTAACCACTCATGTGATAACTGCTGGTGACGTTTATTCCCACGGATGATTTAGTGGATTATCCCAACAAAAAGTATTTGGATTTTAAAGAAGGACACTGTTGGCCAGGCACAGTGGCTCATGCCTATAATCCAGCACTTTGGGAGGCCGAGGCAGGTGGATCACTTGAGGTCAGGAGTTTGAGACCAGCCTGGCAAACATGGTGAAACCCCATCTCTACTAAATACACAAAAAACTAGCCGGGCGTGGTGGTGGGAGCCTGTAATCCCAGCTACTCTGGAGGCTGAGGCAGGAGAATCGCTTGAACCCGGGAGGTGGAGGTTGCAGTGAGCTGAGATTGTACCACTGCACTTCCGCCTGGGTGGTAGAACAAGACTCAGTCTCAAAAAAAAAAAAAAAAGAAGGGCACTGTTGATCTTGCAGAATGGTGCCAGGATGACCAGTGATGGGCAGGATGGAGGGTGGGTGGGGGGAGACAGAACCAAGAGCCACCCAAGTGTGTTCCTGCCAGGGGTCCGTGCCCGCTTTCCTCCCCACCACCGTCTCCCCCCAATAGGTGTGCGGAGCTGCTCCTCAGGTTTGGAGCGAGAGTGGATGGTCGGTCCGAGGAAGAAGAGGAGACCCCTTTGCATGTGGCCGCCCGGCTTGGCCATGTGGAGCTGGCAGATCTGCTTCTAAGACGGGGGGCATGTCCTGATGCCCGCAATGCCGAAGGCTGGACCCCACTGCTGGCTGCCTGTGACGTCCGCTGCCAGTCCATCACCGATGCCGAGGCCACCACCGCCCGCTGCCTGCAGCTGTGCAGCTTGCTGCTTTCAGCTGGAGCAGACGCTGATGCTGCGGACCAGGACAAGCAGCGACCCCTGCACCTGGCCTGCCGCCGTGGCCATGCAGCTGTCGTGGAGCTGCTCCTGTCCTGTGGTGTCAGCGCCAACACCATGGACTATGGGGGACACACGCCCCTGCACTGTGCTCTGCAGGGCCCAGCTGCAGCCCTGGCCCAGAGCCCCGAGCACGTGGTTCGGGCTCTGCTCAACCATGGCGCCGTCCGTGTCTGGCCAGGGGCCCTCCCCAAGGTATGGGGGCTGCAGGCAGCAGGAGGGCCACCATGGTGAGGGGACAGGGAGACCTGGGCCTGTGCTCCGGTTTGCTTTGGAATGTGGCCTGTGCACATAGATTGGTTCCTTCTGTCTGTCTTTCATTCAGCATGTAAGCAAAGCCCAAATAGGGGTCAAGGTGAAGACACAGATCAGTGGGAAATGTGTGTGTGTGCATGTGTGTGTGCATGTGTATACATGGTGTGCGTGTGTATACATGTGTTCATGCATGTATGTGCATGTATATACTGTGCATGTGTGATAAAGGCGGACTGGGGGCAGTGGGGCCAGATTAGATAAAGGATCCAAAAAGACAGAAGAAGTCAGGGCTGATGTGGGTGGTGGGCGTTGTTTAAGGGTCTTCATCAGCACAGCAAACTGATGAAAATAGCACTTGAGGAAGCTCCCACTAGCAGTGGGATCAGTTCAGTGACAGATGCAGGAGAGGCTGTCCAAGGGAAGAGGGTGAGCCTGTTTCAGGAGGCTCAAGGTCCCCTGAATGTCTGTAAATGGACATGGTCCCACTTTCTGAGAATCTAATAGGACCCACAGCCCCCAGAACAGCTGCCACTGTCCTGGCACCTGTGAACATGCCTTTCACTGTCAATTTCAATTTATATCCTACTTTATCTTAATTTCCCCTAAGTAGGTTCAACTTGAAGACCTGTGCTACTGATGCCCTGTGAGGGGGCCTTGCCCCATGCTGTGTCGTGTCTGGAGGGGCATAGATAATGTCATGGAGGGCGCTGGGTCTGGGATGGGGACATCCGTTCTCAGAGGAGATGGCTCAGAACCGAAACCACCCTCTGAGTAGGCAGTTCCCCTCTGGCTCAGCCCAGAGTGTTGTCCCACCCAGCCTTGCCTGTCCTGGGACCACCCCTGCTATCCCAGCCTCTCCCCTTTGCTCACAAACCTAGAAGCATCTGTCTGGATTCCTAAGCAAGACCAAATAATTAAACAGCCCAAGAGTTCGGCAGATTGGTCTCCCCTTTGGGAAAATACAAGAAAATCAACAATTAACACTAATTAATCTCCTATTAACACTAGATAATTAGGAGACAAGCAATTCCCTGTAATCTGACGGCAGCTCTGACAGCTAATGATTTCCCTGGCAGGCAGGGGCGGGAGGAGGGCCCGGCGCAGCGAAAGGGTTTCCTGGGTCCCCACAGCCCTGCTCCACCTCTCAGCCTGTCTCTGGGACCAAAGGGGCTGGCAGAGCAAAGTACCCCATTTGTCCCTTTCCATGATCTGCAGCCCTGCCAGCTGAGGGGTTTCTGTCCTCCCTGCACAGAAGCCTCCACCGCCCATCTGTGATGAAATGCCAGCCCCAGCTGGTTCTCTAGGAGCCACCACTTTAGACTTGGTGCTCAGGGGACCTGGATCCAGGATGTGACTTTGATGCTTGTTCGTATGGGTGTAGGCAAGTCACTGCATGTGATACAGCCTCTCCCTAACAGGATGGAAAGCTGTAGGAGAGCACTGGGGAACAGTCGGAGCAAGCACAGCCTTGACTACACACCAGGCACTGCTCTAAGCTGTATTTCCTGTTACAGGAGTTCCTCAGTCCTCCCAGCAACTTCTGAGTTCAGTGGTGACTAGGAGTGTAGGCTCTGGAGCCAGACACACTACCTGTGTGGCCTTCGGCAAGTCGCTGAATCTCCCTAGGCCTCAGTTTTGTCATCTGTAACATAGGGATATGATACTATGCCTTCTTCATAGGGTTACTGTGAGAAGAGTTAATACACATCAAGCCTAGTGCTTAACACTTGTTAGCTAGTGTTGTTCTTGTTATGTAATGTATGAGAAAGCACTTGGTAAGCTGCTTGGCATCATCCCAATGAGGGTATCATTGGACATGGGAGTGAAGCAGGTTGATGTAGCTGCATGGGCTTCCTGGAGGAGGCAGGACTGGGATGGGCAGTTTTGAAGGGAAGGAGGAGGAAGAGGCAGGCATTCCAGACACAGCGAGCTACTTGAGCCCAGTGCAGAGGTGGGGATCAACATGGGCCAGGAAGGACAGAGACGGGCCTGAGGGGCAGGTGGAGAGGAGAGTTGGAGAGAACCAGCCTGCTCTTCCCTAGCTTGGAGGAGGAGTGAGGAAAAGAGGCCTCCCGGGACAGACTGATGAGCACTGCTCAGATGCAGGGCTAGAAGCAGAGGCCCCAGGTGTGTAAAATGCTTTCTCCAGGGACCCCTGGAAGGCCAGGCCTTCTGCTCCCACTGCTCATTGGTACTCTCGTCTGACAGACAGAAGGGTCTCCTCTCCTTGCAGACAGAGTCTGTTAAACCCCCACCGCTAGATGCAATTGTGTTTGGCCACATGTGGGTTGTGTGTGAGATGCTGCCTGAAAGACAATACTTAGCTGTTTTCAGATCTCAAAAGGCTCTGTGGCCATCGCCTGCATAGATGCAGCGAGAGTGGAGTGCAGTGGAGGAGGCACAAATCTGCTTTAGGTACTGAGTTCAGGCACAAGCGGGTGTCTTAGTGCCAGTGTCTGTCAGGCCACTTTTCTGACCACGTGGACGGTCTGTCCACAGGCTGCTCCACTGCGTGGCTTGCCCGCTTGCTGCACTGGACCACCACCTCAGAGACCTTTCTTGGCCACTCCGTCTAGGACAGTGCCCTCCCCAACCATGCTCAGTCCCCTGACCCTACTTTTTTTTTTCTCTTTTGAGACAGGGTCTCATTCTGTCGCCCACACGTGCCGTGGCACGATCCCGGCTCACTGCAACCTCTGCCTCCCAGGCTCAAGAGATTCTCTTGCCTTAGCCTCCCAAATAGCTGGGATTAAAGGTGCATGCCACTACCGCCCGGCTAATTTTTGTATTTTTAGTAGAGACAGGGTTTCACCATGTTGGCCAGGCTGGTCTCAAACTGCTGACCTCAAGTGATCCACCCACCTCGGCCTCCCAAAGCGCTGGGATTACAGGCATGAGCCGCCACGCCCGGCTCCTTCTTATTTTTCATTGCAGCAGCAGATCTGTGAGTGATGACTTCTGTGTTTATTATGTTTTCCCTCTGAAATAGAAGCTCTTGGATGACGAGGACTTTATTTTCCCCACTGCTGGATTCGAAGTGCTTGGCACATAGTAGGCCCTCAATAAATAGTTGCTGAATGAACCAATGAAAGCATATATCTGGCTCCAACTAGGTTCCACCCCTGCTCCTACCAAATCCTCTCCTGCTCCTGCAGGCAGTCCATCAGCCTCAGGTTGCCTTGTCCCTTCTCCCTGAATACCCTCCAGGCTCTGGGGTTCCCTTGCCTCCAGAGCCCAGTCCTCCCTCTGTGAGTCCCCCACCCAGCCCCACCCCACTCCCTGGCCCCCTCTTGTAGCTGTCTCTACCCTCACTTGGCATTGGATGGATTCTGTGATCTTTTTATCTGCTCAGGAGCTCCAGCCACAGGTCAGGGACCCCTTCCAGCCAGCAGAAAACCCAGCCCAGAACCTTGTAGAGGCAGAGAGGAGAGCAGGATGGTGGTGTGGTTAAGGGCAAGGGGTCACGCTTCCAGGCCTGGACTGTGGGAACCACAACTTGGGCAAGTTAATTAACTTCTCTGTACCTCAGTTTCCCTTGGCTGTAATGAAGGAAATGGGATAATAACATGGGATATTAACAGTCCATCCCTTGCAGGGACAACAGTGAAGAGTTCATACATGTCAAGTGCTAGAAATCATCTGGCCTGAGTTATGCACAATAGAAAGGTTAGCTGCTGTATTGGCTTCCTGGATCAAATGAAGTACCACAAAGTGGGTAGCTTAAAGCAACAGAAATGGAGTTCCCTTACAGCAGTGGAGGCTGGAAGTTTGAAATGCATATGTGGGCAGGGCTGGCTCCTTCTGGAGCTTCTGAGGGAGAATCTGTTCCATGGTGCTCTTGTAGCTTCCAGTGGTTTCCCACAATCCTTGGTGTCCTTTGACTTGTACATGTGTCACTCCACTCCACTGTCTGCCTTTGTCATCACGTGGCCTTCTTTTCTGTGTCCGTGTCTGTGCCTCTGTTTTCTCTTCTTATAAGAACACCAGTCATATTGAATAGGGCCCACCCTAATGACCACATTTTAACCTGATTAACATTTGCAAAGACCCTATTTCCAAATAAGGTCCCATTCATAGGTACAGGGGGATAGGTCTTCAATATATCTTTTGGGGAACAAAGTTCAACCCACAACAACTATTCTGGAGCTGTCTGGTCACTGTGTGGACTGACTGAGGACCCAACATGCCTCTGCCTCCCACAGGTGCTGGAGCGCTGGAGCACGTGCCCTCGGACCATCGAGGTCCTGATGAACACCTACAGTGTTGTGCAGCTTCCCGAGGAGGCCGTCGGCCTGGTGACTCCTGAAACTCTGCAGGTCAGATTCCAAGGCCCTGAACATAGAGCTTCTCATCCTGGTCCCAAGACTCCCACCCGCTAAACCGCAGCCCCCCATAGAAAGTACCCAAAGATGCACTCATGTCCCAGAAGAGAGAACTTGCAGAGTGAACACTCAAACATTCATTGTTTCTAATAGGTTCCTTCCGGTAGATGCCCCACCCCTCACCAGCCTACCCTGTGAGGAGGAGCCGGTGCTACCTGTCTGAGGCTGCCTCTCACTGAGCCCCTTGTTCTGCCCCCAGAAACATCAGCGTTTCTACTCCTCCCTCTTCGCCTTGGTGAGGCAGCCCAGGTCGCTGCAGCATTTGAGCCGCTGTGCGCTCCGCTCCCACCTGGAGGGCAGCCTGCCCCAAGCGCTGCCCCGCCTCCCCCTGCCACCGCGCCTGCTCCGCTACCTGCAGCTGGATTTTGAGGGCGTGCTCTACTAGGTGAGCCCCGGGATCTGTGAGCAGTCACAGCTGCTTGGGGTCCAGGGATGTGTGGAAGGCAAGAGAAGGGTTGGGGAGGGCCCTAGCCAGAACCGGCCCGTCCCCGAACCACCAGAAGCCTCTGAATCCAAACCTCTCCTTCCAGATGTCCATGGCCTTTTGAGAGGGCCTGAAAGCAGATGCCCCAGCCTGCAGAGGGCGCGCCTCTGCACTAACTCAGGCCAGGTAGCCCTGGCAGCAGGAGGCCCAGCTCCGCAGGCAGGTGTGGATGCTGCAATTCCCAATGCAGAGAAGCGGACCGACAGCGGCAGCCGGGTGATGTCTGATGAAGACACACTCCTACTGGGGCTCTCCTGAGGCCCCCTTCTAGCCTGTGCAAACCCTGTATGTGCATTAAAAATCTCCAGGTCTGTGTTTGGTGCTGTCTCCAACAGACCTTCCTCTGAACTGGCTCCCTTGCAGGGGAGTCGGGATGGGCGGACTGACAGGGGCTCCCTGCCTGCCCCACGGTTCCAGCTGAATCACCTTCCCCTTTGGCATCAGCCGGCTGCTAAGGGGTCCCAGGCTTGCCAGCTCCATGAAATGACAGAATGACCGCCAGGTGAGAACGCGTTTGAAAAGGCCTAAAGGAGGTGCAGGGTGCACATGGAGGCAGTGCAGAGAGTTGGGCAGGAAGGCACAGGAACCCTTGGGGTAGGAAGGTGAGGAGGCAGGAGAGCCACCCGGAAGGAGGGGCATGTGGGGTGGCCGATCGCAGAGGGTAACCATGGCTCAGGTGACAGCGAAAGGCCCAGGTTTAGAAAAACAGAACCAGTTCTGCCTATTGCCTGACACGGTAGGTCAGGGAGCACCAGAAGCATGCCTGGTTCCTGCCTCTTTTATCTGCTCCTTCCTTAAATTTAGCTCTGGCCGCAAGAGCGCTGAGTTGAAAGTTCCATGACACAGGTTCTGGTCTTAACTCTGCCATTAACTTGTGGAACGTAAGTCTCTTCCCTCTCTGGGATCACGTTTCTGCATCTGTAAAAAGAGAGGGAGGAGAGTCCCTGAGGGTCATTGCAGTATCAGGATTTTCAGAACCTGCCAGAGGCCCCAGCAGTCGGGAGCTGCCTGCAACCACAGGCGAAGGGCAGGTGGTCGGGACAGAGCAGCCAATCAAGTGCACCGTGATCCCTGACGTCAAGGGTCGCTGGACAGAGTTCCCCCAGGCGGCGGAGTGCGCAAGCGCTGGAGCTCGCGACTTTCCCGCCAACCGGCACTAGCGAGGCGACGAAGGGCGGGGCCAGGAGGGCGCGAAGGGACAGGGGTTGGGGCCTGGAGGGCGCGAGGCGGCAGGGGGCGAGGCCTGGAGGTCGCGAGGCTTTAGGCCGCGCGGACCAGAGCCCGAAGCCGGGTTAGGCGTTGAGAGGCGGCTGAGGAGAAGCGGAGAGGAAGTGAGGGGGCCCGGATTCCCACCCTGGCCTCACGGACCTTGGGCTGACCGGTCTGTCTGGCTTCAGGTACTAGGGCGCGGCTCTGGGACGCGGGTGCGGGTGGGCAAGCGGTGGAGGCTCCTCGCTGTGGAAACCCCAGGCGGACCCCGACCGCACAGGCCCCACCTCGCGGGCAGGAAGCGGCTGCCCCAAGACATGGGCGGGAACCTGGTGCGCGAGGCCCACTCCTGTCGAGGGCCTGCGGGGCGCCCCGTGGAGACCGCGGCTCGGGTGGGGGTCCCGGGGGACGCCCTAGTGCTCGATGGTTTGTTCCGCAGCCGTTCCAGGGCCTGCTGCGTTCAGGCACCGCCGCACGGGGGCAAGGACTGCCCTCCAGGCCCCCACCAGGGTCCGCTTGCGCGGGGTAGCCGGAGCGCGGCGCACAGGAGGAAGCGGCAGGTGCTGCCGAGCCCGGGGAGAGACGTGCGGGATGGGGGGTTGGCAGTCGGTGACAGGGAAACCTGCTCTCTGAGGAGGTGACATTTAGCCTGAGACCTGAGTAGAGCAGATCAGTAGGAGTGGCAGGACGGACCGTCCTGGCTGCGGGCGTGGGTCGGGGGGCACCTGCGGCGGTGGTCCAGGCCAGAGGTGGTCGCGGCGGGCGAGATTCGGGATCCCTGGGAAGAACTGGGGGGCCGCCGCTGGGGGGGATGTAGGGGGCTGCAGAATAGCGCTGTCTAGGGCGACTCGCAGGTTTTTGGCTTGGACCCCTGGACGGTGGTGCCAGATGCTAAGATGGGGAAGACGAGGAAGTAACGGGAAGCAGAAGGCCGTTGCTGGGGAGATGGCACTGGAGCCGCCTAGGAAGCATCTCAGAGGCTGTGGCCCTTGGCACGGGGATCTGGGGCCAGGTCGAGCGCAGGTCTGGGTATCATGCGAGTGCGGGCTCGCTGGTGCGGGAAAGAGTTTGGAGCTCTGCTCCCAGGGAATCCCGACTCCCGCAGATGACTTGCCCGAGAGAGTCCTGCTGGTGGATTTTGATGGAAATTCTATTTGATCGCACCCACTTGGTTCACTGTGTGCTTCCGGGTCCCCAGGTTTTAGGTGCTTCATGCCCTGCTGGGAACGAGACACGCTCCTGCCCTCAGTGAATCTTCAGTCTAGTCTGAGAAACAAGGGTGTGAACAACCAGTTAGAATACAAGGGGCAATAGGATGAATGCAAGATAAACGTGGGAGCAGGAGCTGGGGGCATGAAGAGGAGGGTGAGGAATGGGGTTGAGATCTGGGAGGGCGTCCCAGAAGAAGGACCCTCCTCTAAAGTGATAGGAAGATGGGGGAGGATTTCTGGCCACATCTGGAGAGCCTGCGATCATGGGATGCCTTTTTAAGGACGGGGAAGGGAAGAAAGGCGATGTGGAGTGGTGGCTGTGAAGGGGCTGTGCACAACTTCACATATTGTCCCCTTAGCGGGCAATGTCAGGAGGGTCCTCACTGGGGTTAGACATTCAGACTCTTGCGAGCCAGGGCGCTCCCTCCCCAGCCTCCTGGCTGTTGGTCCCGCGGGCCCAGAACCTCTCCCTGGTAATTGCTTTTCGTAATGTGTTTGCTCCAAACCAATTTCACGCCTCCGTGAGGACTCCGCCCTGCACTGAGGCGCGGACCTCCCCACCACCAACCTACCCGCGTGTGAACGCGCGGGCTCATACATACTGTACACATTTAACACAACAGAAATACAGGGTTCGGGTACCGGGGCACACTAAACATACTTAACCCTACACTCACGCACACTAGACGTTAAGACACTCACGTACAACCCCCCGTCCCCAAACAGTGCATTCACAGTTAAGCATCTAGAGGCGTCCCGCGCGCTCGCCCTTGGATGCTCCGTTAGTGGTTTCTTTGCCCTCGGCGCGTCTCCTGGACTGTCGCCAGGGGGCGCTGCAGCACCCCGCACCTCCTTCGCCGTGCCCGCAGTTGTGCGCTGCTGCCACCAGAGGGCACCCGCGGCCAGGCCCGACGCTGCCCACCATGAGAGGACTTTCTCTGGCCAATGAGTGGATTGGAGGTATAGATTTGTGGTCTTTGACTTGAATACTTTGTTTTTTTCTTAGCATCCTTGGTGCTGGTTGGCAACACAGGTCAGGCCAGATGATGAGGCCGCGGTGGGCACAGAGGGTAGATTAAAGATAAAATTCCTCTGTAGGAGCATTTCCCAAATGTCAGAGAATATGGACAAAGCAGCACTTTCAGAATTCTGTTTCGGACAATGAGACCAGGTACTTGCCCATAATGCGTCTGTTCAGGAATTCAGTAGGAGAATCATAGTTTTTTGCTGGTAAAGAAAGGAACTAGCTCTGTTCAGATTTGACAGAGGTAAGGTCTGTACTTGATACTGATGAGAGAGTGAAGTAGTTTTTGGAGTGCTCTGGATTTCAGGGAAAATGAGTCCCCTTCCTTTCTTCGCCACTCTACTCTTTGTCTATTTAGTGCAGGAAGAACTCGTTTTGGAAGGTGTTTTTTCATATTCAATTGACTCTTGCCCTTGCTTTTTGACTAGACAAAGTTTTTTTTTTTGAGACGGAGTCTGACTCTGTCGCCCAGGCTGGAGTGCAGTGGTGTGATCTCTGCTCACTGCAAGCTCCGCCCTCTGGGTTCACACCATTCTCCCGCCTCAGCCTGCCCAGTAGCTAGTACTACAGGTGCCTGCCACCACGCCTGGCTAATTTTTTGTATATTTAGTAGAGACGGGGTTTCACCGTGTTAGCCAGGATGGTCTGGATCTCCTCACCTCGTGATCCACCCGCCTCAGCCTCCCAAAGTGCTGGGGTTACAGGCGTGAGCCACCACGCCCAGCCCTTGTTGTTCTTATTTGTAAGACAGGGTCCTGCTCCGTCACCCAGGCTAGAGTGCAGTGGCACAATCTCTGCGCACTGAAGCCTCAACCTCCCCGGCTCAAGTGATCCTCCCACCTCAGCCTCCTGAGTAGTTAGGACTACAGGCATGTGCCACCATGCCTGGCCAATTTTTAAATTTTTTTTTATAGAGACGGGATCTCACTATGTTGCCCAGGCTGGGCTTGAACTCCTGGTCTCAAGTGGTTCTCTCACCTGGGCCTCCCAAAGTGTCGGGATTACAGACATAAATCATTGTACCCAGCCAGAGTAGATATTAATCACTCTCCCTCACAGATGGAGATGTCAAAGAGGGGTCAAGGTCACAGGGCCCAGTGAGGGGTCAGAAGAGGAATTTGATTCCAGGTCTTTTTCCTTTAGCCAGTGCTTCTTTCCATTTACCATGTGGCCTCAGTTCTATGTTCTATGAAAGGGCAGGGAAAGGAAATGGGTTGCTGCAGTTGCCACTATGTATGCCAATGTTACGGAATGTCAAGGACTTCACAGAAGTCACACTTCGTATCTCTAGCATGGCAAGGGAACAGATAGAGGATATAAATGGGTTATGAAATACAGTATCTAACAAACACAAACCACACCAGGTCAGTAGAAGTACTTAAGGTCTCACCTGCCTCTGTTCAGAATTGGTGGCCCACTGGGATTTGTTGGCACTAAGTTTTAAGTATGTACTTCCTGGCCAGGCGCAGTGGCTCATGCCTATAATCCCAGCACTTTGGGAGGCCGAGGCAGGCAGATCATGAGGTCAGGAGTTCGAGATCAGCCTGGCCAACGTGGTGAAACCCTGTCTCTACTAAAAACACAAAAATTAGCCGGGCATGGTGGCAGGCGCCTGTAATCAGAGCTACTTGGGAGGCTGAGGCAAGAGAATCACTTGAATCCGGAAGGAGGAGGTTACAGTGAGCCAAGATCATGCCACTACACTCCAGGCTGGGCAACAGAGCGAGACTCCATCTCAAAAAAAAAAAAAAAGTAGGTACTTCCTGTGCCAGCTTGAGTAGAGAATCCACTTTACTGAGTATAGTTCTAAGCAATAAGCTCTTGGCATGAACTAGGCGACATATATCTTCAAGATCAGAGGGTTATTTTATTTATTTATTTTTTGAGATGGAGTTTCCCTCTTGTTGCCCATGCTGGAGTGCAGTGGTGCGATCTCGGCTCACTGCAACCCACCTCCCAGGTTCACGCGATCTCCTGCCTCAGCCTCCCAAGTAGCTGGAATTACAGGCATGTGCCACTATGCCCAGCTAATTTTGTATTTTTAGTAGAGATGGGGTTTCACTATGCTGGTCAGGCTAATCTCGAACTCCTGACCTCAGGTGATTCACCCACCTCGGCCTCCCAAAGTGCTAGGATTACAGGCATGAACCACCATGCCCAGCCCAGAGGGTCTTTAAGACATTTTTTAGAGACAAGGTCTCCCTCTCTCACCCAATCTGGAGTACAGTGGTGTGATTATAACTCATTCTAACCTCCAAATCTTGGGCTCAAGCAATCCTCCCGCCTCTGCCTCCCAAGTAGCTGGAGCTACAAGTGTGTGCCACCGTGCTTGGCTAATACAATCAGAGGGTCTTTTAATCTTGAGTCCTTGACATACCAGAATGTGACAGGCTTCTTAAAGTGGCCTTTTATTGAAGGGACTGGTGGAAGAGAGATGTTTCAATATATATCCTTTTGAGCTTTTGGAACTTGGTACTATGTGATTTTATTACCTATGCAATAAATGAATGCAATTACTTTTAAAAATGGTTCTTCCTTCATGCCTTATTTGGCTGATCCTGTAACTGCTCATACAGGTTTAATTTCAGTTTTGTAGCCCAAAGTTGCCTCAATTTGTCAAGTCAGTAAGCCTCTGTTATGTATCCAACACCGATAAGCCCTCTCACTTTAAAAATACAATATACTTTTGAAGCTTCATCTTGCATGTTGGTATGGTAAAGTGCTTGGTTAATTTAGCAAAGGGGTGTTCTGAAGAGTATCTTTAGACAAGTTCTTTAGTAGTGAGTTGGAGTTAAGCTAAGGCACCTCTTCTTTCTCCATTGTGACATCTTACCACCAGACTCGTTCCTTAGAAATTTCACTGGTTTAATGTGGAGCCCAAGGTAGATCAAGACTGCATGGAAATGACACTCTTCTCTGTTCACTTCTCTGATGAATTGTCAGTTAAGGCATAACCAAAAAACTCCCTTCTTGAGTCCTGCCCCCTTCCTCAGTCCACCCTGGTGACAGTGTCTTTCAGGTACTGATTTAAATACATCAGCCTGACTTTAACAGTGTTCACTAGGCTAACACAACACTCCTGATTTGGGACAAATGTCACTGAGACCCAGAGTTCCCTCCTGCCCTGCTCTGTCTTGGCCGGGCAATCCTGGAACTTGTGTAGGTTTTCGTCCTCGCTGGAGCCAAATCACTTCCCCTACCTAGACTGCATCTTCCTAAACTTGCCTGGCTTTACTGTTATCAGTTTTAACTAGCTTGGCTCTACCCAGCCTCACCTGAATAACAATTTCCTTGTGACCAGATGACACTCACTGTAGCTGGCCAGGCTTGCCCTGTGTCCTGAAGCTTGAGTCACTCTTCTGTTGACTTGCCTGTCTTGTCTCTTTCTTGCCCACTGACCTGAGGTGGCTATCAAGCCAAACTGTCTGACTTTTGCCTCTAGATTGACAACTCTACTGCTGGGAATTGGGAGGAGGGGGAGGACGATGGTAAAAGGCGCCACCATTTCTGTGTCTCAGAAGGGGGGAGGTGAGAGTCATCTGCAATTAGCGGATAATTAGCGCTGCTGACCCTTGGGGCTCATCAGCGCTCCTGGGGCCAGCCCCCAGCAATCAGCCAGGGCAGGTCGTGAGTGTCAGGCCCGGGAATGAATAGGGCTCATCAGCGGCGCTGGAGCTGGGGAGCCAATCAGGGAAAATTAATAGCAGAAGAGAAGGAGAGAGAGCGAGGGAGGGAGACAAGAGATAGACAGACAGACAGACAAGAGATACAGATAAAGGAAAGACATGAGAAAAATCGAGTAAGAGGGACTGGGATAAGGAATGAGAGATGGGAAAGAAATAATCAGAGGAATAGGAATAGAAACGAGGACGGGAAAGGGAAGAGGGGTGGGAGGAAGAAAAAGAATGTAAAGGACGGGAGAAAGATGGAGGGGAAAGGTCAGAGGAATGGTAAGTACTTGGCATAGTGTGGGCACTCAAGGAAATTACCCACCGAGGCAAGAGAAAGGGACTAGGGGAAGTTGGAGATGGAGGAGGGAATGAGGAAGAAGGTGAAGAGCCAATGCCAAGAGAATAGAGACCAGAGGCCAGAGTGCGAATGGGGCAGATAGGAGGAAAGGGGCCCCGTAAGAGTGGCCCTAAGCCGCAGAACCGGGCGGGCCCAGCGCGCCCCCTGTCGGCCCCGCCTCGCCTCCCTCAGCCCCGCGCTCTCGCTGGAGGGGGCGGTGGCCGTGCTGTCCCGCCCGTCGCGCCGGAGCTTGCTCTGGGGACCGCCACAACGTCCGCTCCACGGGCAGGGGAGGGGTGTCGGAGCTGGGAGGCACGCCGGGGAATGACTTGGGGCCCGAAGGAGGGCGGCGGCCCGGAGCAGAGGGGTGCTGAGGTCCGGCCCCGCCGCCTGTCCCTGCTGGTGCGCCCTCTCCGCCTGCCGCCCGGTGTCCCATCCACGCTCGGCCCCGCCGCCCCATCGGAGCCTGGGCCACCTCCCGCTTGCCCTCCTAGCCGGAGCCCGGGCCAGGTGGGCTGAGTTGGGGGGGTGGACTGGGTGGAGGGAAGGGGACCGGCCCAGCAGCTGCCGCCGCCTTCTCGTCGGCCGCAAACTTTCACAAAGCGGCGTGTCCGGCCTCATCAATCTCCATTAATAATAGTTGGTTGGGCCGCGGGGGGCGGGTGGGGGTCCCGGGCCGGCCGGCCGGGCCGCTGGGAACGGGCTCTGCGGAGGGAGCGGGAGCCGGGCGCGGCGGCGGCGGGCGGAGGGAGGAAATGAAGCGTAATTTGAGGAAGATGGATGAGTCCGGAGGGCGACACCCCCAGCCCGCCTGCTCGCCCGCCCCCTCCCTCCTTATGAGAGAGAGGGAGCGCGGCGCCGGAGCCACACTGCGCCGAGCCCGCGCCCCGCCGCCACCTCGGCCCGGGAGCCAGGGAGCGAGCCCTGCGTGTCCGCGCGGGGCGCCCGAGCCGCGGGGCGCACGGAGGCGCCCAGAGAGGAGCGCCCCGGGGCGGCCGCAGCTCCGAACAAGATGCAGCGGGCCGGAGGCGGTAGCGCCCCTGGGGGCAACGGCGGGGGCGGCGGCGGGGGCCCGGGCACTGCCTTCTCCATCGACTCCCTAATCGGGCCGCCGCCGCCGCGCTCCGGCCACTTGCTGTACACCGGCTACCCCATGTTCATGCCCTACCGGCCGCTCGTGCTGCCGCAGGCGCTGGCCCCTGCGCCGCTGCCCGCTGGCCTCCCGCCCCTCGCCCCGCTAGCCTCTTTCGCCGGCCGCCTTACCAACACCTTCTGCGCGGGGCTGGGTCAGGCTGTGCCCTCGATGGTGGCGCTGACCACCGCGCTGCCCAGCTTCGCGGAGCCGCCCGACGCTTTCTACGGGCCCCAGGAGCTCGCCGCCGCCGCTGCCGCCGCCGCCGCCACTGCCGCCCGAAACAACCCCGAGCCAGGCGGCCGACGCCCAGAGGGTGGGCTGGAAGCTGATGAGCTGCTGCCGGCCCGGGAGAAAGTGGCAGAGCCCCCACCACCTCCGCCTCCGCACTTCTCAGAGACTTTTCCAAGTCTGCCCGGTAAGTGCTAGGGCCGACCAGGGCTGGCGGGAGGCCGGTTCACCTGGAAATTCCAGACAGGAACCTGCTCGGAACCTCGGCACCTCGGCACCTGCCTGGAGCCTTGAAGTCCCAGACCTTTAGATCGCGCGCAGGTTCTGACTCCAATTCAGTTCCAAATACAGCCTCTTTAGATTCCAGAACCCCCGCCCTGCTCTGTCCCCATAGCCCTGAAGGCTAACCGAAGACTTTGCAGTGCTCCCTTCACATTAGTGCCTTTCCCTCAGCATCCTAGCCATCAAGACTTGGCCCTGTCTCCTTTTCAGAATTCCTTCATTTTTTTCCTCCTCTGTCAGGGGTAGACAAGCTACAAGGATGGGATTTCCGGGGGCACCAAGATGGGGGTATGTTGAAGCAGCTGTCAATTCAGCAATGGAGGGCACGTTCTGGCTTCTAAGGAGATCATACTGACCCTAAAGGCTCAAAGGATAGGAATAGGCTCTGTGGATGCAGGGGCAAAAAGAGTGTGTGTGTGTGTGTGTGTTGGGGGGGGGGGGTTGCGTCTCAAAGCCGTGACTTCTGAATTGGCAGATTCAGAGCTAAGCCTTGAAGAACTGAGTAGGGGGCCAAAGAGAACATTAGCTACAGGAGGCCTAGCACACGCTGGACAAGTGCTGACTAGGAGACCAAGAGAGAGGCTAAAGGCTGGGCTGAGTTGGGTGTGGCCCAAAGATCTAGGGTGCAGAACCCAGCTAAGATTCAGCTGACAGATAATTCAAGGGCCCTGGACCCTCCATGAATGGTGCCCTCTCCATAGAGGCAGGGTGTATTAAACTGAACCTTGTTTAGAGTCCATTCAATTAGAGCCCTCCTGACCTCTCTATTGGTCCTTAACTCCTAGAAGCCAGAAAAGCTTTCTTCTGGCTAGACAGATTCAGGTGTTCTGAGTTCCAAAGCTTATACAATTTGCTGGGCCCTATTTAAGAAAAATAGGCACCACTTGCAAGTGTGGGGACTCTGATGCTTCAACATCTTTAGTATCAGGATGGAACCGCTTCTGCTCAACCATTCATTGCATCCAGCTTAGAGGTGGAAATGACCCCAGTAGGCCTGGGAGCTGACTTGAACAGAGACAAGAAGGGAATGCAAGAGTGCTTTTGTCCTTTGCCAGCAGAGATAATTCTTGATTATCAGTTATGGGGCCCTTTCTGACATTGTCCAAAGGGTTAATCACTCTTTCAGACCCCAAAGGCTGCCATGGGGCCTGTCTTCCTATTCTTTTCTCCTTTCGCCCTGGCATTTTGCTTTTGGGGATTCAGCTGTTGTTTTCTTTTTTGTACCTGGTTGGATCAGGAAGACCCAGTAACTGAAGTCAGAATAGCATCTTCTAAGGGGGATCATAAGGAACAGATAGAGCAGCAACTGGAAGGTGGGAGAAAATGTCCACAAGATAAAAGGGCCCAGGGCGGGAGCCTGGAAGCCAGCAGGATGATCTTAAGAAAAAAAGATTAGTATGATTGTCAGAATAGGATGGTCCTAAGGCAGAAAAAAGAGTAAGACAGGCCATCAAAGAGATGACTTTGGAGGAGATAGGACCTGAAGGTGTAACCAGACACATATAGAAAGAGATGAGCTGAAGAGAGAGGATGGAGGGGGGATCCCTTGGTAGCGGGGACTTAGGGGCATATGCCCAAACTGTGGGACAACAAGCAATTTGTCCCACCCTTTCAGGTCTGCTCAGTTCTTATTTTGACCTATATGTATAATGGGAGCTCTTTTCTGGATCATATAGTATATTGGCTATAAAAACAGACATTGAGAAAGAGAGGAATAAGCAGAGAAAAAACAGAAGAGAAATACTGATGAAACAAGAATAGAGGAAAGGACCAGGGGATGAGTTGTATACTGGAATATACAAAGAGAACATGAAGAAGGAGAGGGTTCTCTGCTGGAAAAGGAACTCTGGACTGGACTAAATGAAAAGTGAACTGTATTACTGGACCACAAGTGTGAGTGAGTGTGTGTGTGTATGTGTGTGTGTGTTTGTGTGTGTGTGTGTAAGAGTTCTGTCATGAGAGGATTTGGGGGGAACTAAATAAAAATACTAGGGGAATAAGGAAAAGTTTCAACACTAGGAGTAATTTTCTTTAAAGAGTTTTTAATATTGAGAGTGAGGGGAAACTGGAATTTATATAAAATGACAGAGCTTCATCATCCGAGGAAAATGTTGAAAGCAAAAAAAAAAAAAAAAAAAAGAGGGAAATTTGTGTTGTTCTTGGAGTAAAGGCAAGGAATTTTTTTTGCCAAGAATAATGGAAAGGAGAACTTACAGAGGAAGAATTTTGAAAAAGTGCTGGAATAAAGGTAATCACTCATGCTGGGAGGAGATACATGTAAAGGGTTTATAGTGGGGAGGCTGGGACACAGTAGTAAGGAGGAGAGACTTCAGAAGAAACATTCAAAGAGCATGAGGAATGAGAGCTCCTATCTGTGACGGCTGCTTCTGTCACTCTCAGTAAACACGCTTCCAACTCTTCCTGGGCAAGCCATTCATATCCACCTTCCCAATCTTGAGTTTTTCCAGAAATCATTGAGAAAAGAAAATGCAATTCCAGAAATGAGAGACATAATATCAATTTGGGGACTGATGACACATGACCCAGGCTAAAACTGGTTGGAAAACAAATACTCTGTTTTGGGAATTGTATTAAAGTATTTGGAGTGAAATGACAGAGCTCTCTGCTGTGAATAATGGGATTGAAACCTCAACATTAGAAGAATTTGGAGAAATAATGCAATCTTTAAAATGACAGAGGAGAAATTGTTTTCCTTGTGTGAATGAGTGACATGGGTCTGAAATTATTATTAATTTACATTTGTTTAGTGTTTTACAACTGCTAACCCGTTTAAATAAAATCATAGTGTAGATAGGCCAATTTGGAGAATGATTAGTGATTTTCTTTGGGAATTACAGGGACTATTTTTTTTAATTTGTTGAGAGTTAAGACAGGTACCATTCTCTACTAGAACTGAGGAAGGATAAAAGGAACTTTGTTATGACTTGATTGCAGGAGTAGAAGCTATATTAGCAGGTGAAAAGAAATATGATATATAGAAGTAATTGGGTAGAAAGTTATTGAAAATGGTAGATTGAAAAGAATCACAAGTTTGGAATGTGGGAAGCAGTGGGGAAAATTGAGAGAATGTCTTTTAGTAAGAGTAATAAAGAGGAGAGAATTCCGAACTGTTAGGAAAGATTAAAGTATGACTCAATAGAAGAGCCCAAAGCAGTGCTGGCTAGTAGAGATATATGCAAGCCATATATGTCATTAAAAATTTTTTATTAGCCACATTAAAAAGATAAAAATAGGTAAAATTAATTTTAATTTTATTTAACTCAAGATGTCCAAAATATTATTTCAACATTAATCAATATTAACATTTTAATGATATAATTTTATATCTTCTTTTCATATTAAGTCTTCAAACTCCAGTGTTATTTTACACTTCCAGCACATCTCCATTTGGACTAGCCATGTTTCAGTTGGTCAGTAGCCACAGGTGAACAGTGGTGACCGTATTCAACATGACGGATCTAGAGAGTTTTAAGAACAGAGTTATGTGAAAGTGATGGAGGAAAAGGAGCTTTGAATTGGATAATGGGTCCTCAGTGTATTAGGAATAATGGAGAGAAGAGAGCAGGAAGCACTAAATGACAGGAGAGAACAGAATTCTGTCTTAGGTGGGATGGGCAGAGATTATCTCGTGTGTCTGACGGTTTGTGTGAGCTCTGGCTGAGAGTAATCAAAGCTAACTTGCTGTGTGCAAGATGTGGTGCAGATATGCATCACAGCAACAGTGGGTGAAAAGGACGCTATGTGCTGGGCAAATGATGAAAAGAGCCGTGAATGTGGAGAAATGTAGAAAGCTGGGCGCGGTGGCTCACGCCTGTAATCCCAACACTTTGGGAGGCCGAGATGGGCAGATCACCTGAGATTGGGAGTTTCAGACTAGCCTGACCAACATGGAGAAACCCCATCTCTACTAAAAATACAAAATTAGCCGGGCTTAGTGCCGCATGCCTGTGGTCCCAGCTACTCAGGAGGCTGAGGCAGGAGAATCACTTGAACCCAGGAGGCAGATGTTGCAGTGAGCCGAGATTGTGCCATTGCACTCCAGCCTGGGGGGCAACGAGCAAAACTCCATCTCAAAAAAAAAAAAAAAAAAGGCAGAAGAAAACTTTGAGTTGGGGGTGTCTAGAGCAATTATTCACTCAGGGGAAAAAGAAGATTGGATTGCCTGAATGCAAAAGCTTAGGAAGTGAGGAATGGTAGCTACTCCATATATATTTGTTAGATGGATGACAAAAATGTAGTGAGAGATTGACGTGAAAACTAATACCAGTATTGGGCATAGTGAAGAAAACATTTGTAGTTTAAGGTTATATAGAAGATATGGGAATATGATGGGACAAACTTGAGACATGCTGTTGTAGTAAACATTGTTTTTTTAAACTAAGCTTAAAAAGATTTGCTAATTTCTGAATACAGATTGGCAATAATAATTGAAATCATGCAAGGAGACCGGGGAGACTTCCTAGGAGCCTCGTATTCAAGTGCTGATTACCGTAAGCTAAGCACCTGAATGTAGCTAGGGAACATTTGGATGACCATTAATTAATTTCTGAATAGGTATCCATTATGATTGTCAAGATATGATATTTACTTATGAGAGGAAAACAGAAAATGATAATATGACGTGGAATTAGAGAATTATGTTGTTAGAAACAAGAGGGAGATTTTTGGGGGAAGTGATGGAGATCCAGAGTATGTTTTCCTAGAACTTTTGAGCATACAGTCAGAGTGATTGCTGCATTGACATTTATAGAAAGGCAAATACTGCATTAACTTAATGTGATTGATGGAACATTTGTTTAGGAGTTGTGACACGTGGATTCAATTCTCACCTTTGTCACTCATTAGTTGTATAATTTTGACAAGTCACTTAGTTCAATTCAGGGAACATTTATTGTCTGTCTATTACTACAGACTTAGTATATTTGAGACACAGTGGGAGATTCAAAGTCACATGACTTCTCTAGGCTTTGGTTTCCTCAGCTGGGCCAAAAGTTTTGGTTCAGATGATTTTTAATGTTCCTTTCAATTCTCTAGGCCTCAGTGTTTAAAGTAGAGCTCTCAACCTGGACTCCACAGACCTTTCATCAGGGGATCTGTTAGCTATGGGTGGGAGAAAATTTATACCTTTATTTTTTATCACTTCAACTATGAATATAGGCCAAAAATCATAGTTGTTTCAGCGTGCATGATGTTTTTGTCAGTGAAAGAAATCACAGATAGTTTGATATACATTTACAGTCTTTGGAGGGACCTTGTTTAATGAATAAAGAAACATGATTATATCACAAGTTCTGTTTTAAACTATATTTTAATATACTTGACTTCAAATGTAATACTATGTATTTTATGTTGTATGTCTAAAAGCATTATTCTAGAAAGTGTTCATAGGCTTTACCAGACTGACAAAGGACTTAAGGGCACAAAAGGGTGAAGAACCCCCTGGATCAGAGATAGACCTCAGGAGTGACAACAGGAAAATTTTATTAGGAGGATTAGAATCAGAGGCTAAGATGCCCTGTGCCATAGTGAAAGTAACCCTTCAGGGGTTGGCAGAGAGAAAGAGTCTCTAAGGTGGCACATGTAAATATGGAGATATATATAATAGATGATTAGGAGGAGGATTCTTATACTTGGAGTGGCAGGCATGAGTAGACTATACTGGGAATAATGCAGAGAGGTAATATTTGGAATAATGGGGGAAATATTTTAATTGGAAAGAAGGAAGAACATGCATTGTGAGCAAAGTGCTTTGCATTGAGAGAAATGTTACAATAGGAAGCAAGAATTCTGCCTGGGAAGTAATAGGAAAAGAAAAGTAATGGGAAAAGAAACTGATTTGGAATTAGGAAATAGAAGAGAAGTAATTGAGTAGATGTATAAAAGAGAGAGAGATTTAAACAGGAATGATGAGAAGGAAAGAATTTGGTGGGAAGAAGGAGGGAATGGGGAAATGCCCTGTGCTGGGGTAGGAAAGAAACTTTGTGTCTGAACCAGTGAAAAGGACAGAGCTCTCTATGCAAGGTAGTGCTCATAACCGACAAAAGGCCTGGATTAGGAGTGTAGTAAAAAAGAGGCGGGAAATTTTTTTTGGAAGTCTGAGCTTGTTGGGAGAAAGTTATCAGCTTAGAGTACTGTGGATGAAATGCTAATGTGCTAGGACTAATTGAGAGAAAGGGTGATAGGGAGAAGAGATGCTTGCATTTGGTGCAATAGAGGAGTGGCCTACACAAGTTGAATTCAGGTGTAGTAGAAAGAGACAGGTGCTGCAAGCAGTGTCTTCACTGGCCATTATAGAGGGGAAAGCAATGATCCTTATGTGATGAAAAGAATCTGTATTAGAAGTAGAGGGGCTATAGGAACTCAGATGAGGGTTATAAGCAAAAGGCACTGTTCAAAATATGAGGACTGGGAGGAACAGGAAAATACTTCTGACTGGGGATAATGGGAGGCAGATGTCTTGACTGAATTATGGAGAAGATGATATTATAATAGAAGTAATGGAGAAAACAGAACTCTGTAGTGGGAACAGTGGGAAGAGAAGTAATGCAGAGGTGTCTCCATTGAGGGAAGGAGATGTAATTACCCTGAGTGTAAAGGCAAGAAGTGCTTTGTGCTGCAATTAATAACTATTCTATGAATTATGTGTGGACACTACAAGTACATAAACTGATTAGCCTAAGCAAAGGAAGTGTCTTAGCTTCCTCATCAGTAAAATTAGGGGCTTGAATTAGGTGATCTCTAAGATTCCTTCCAGCTCTACAATTCTGTTTTTATCTATAAGGATATCTTTATTAATGAATTATTTCTTTTAAAAAAGAAAGGCATCCTGAGCGAAGGGCCTGGGGAAACTATACTTTTCAGTGGTGTTGTAGTCATGGAGGAGGAGGAGGTAGCAAGGTAAGATGCATGCATCTTGAGGTGAGATCAGGGCTGGTCTTTACGGTGGAAAAGGCTTGTCTTCTGGGATTGGGGAGGGCATACCCAAGCTATGACTGTGTATAGCTGTCACATTAAATGAGAGAGAGAAACATTTGATAAAGACGGTAGATTTTGTATAGGCCAAATAGATTGGGGATCAGTTGGGACCAACTTTAACTGGCGAGGAAGGAAGCACTGGAAAAGAAGAGAAGTTGTGTTGTAAAATTGGTTCCTGGCCTTCTATATTGTTTCTGTATCTGGAACAATATTTATGATAGGCTGACATTAGAATTCAGTCTCGTCCTAGTATGGTGGCTCATACCTGTAATCTCAGCTCTTTCGGAGGCCGAGGTGGATCACTTGAGTCCATGAGTTTGAGATCAGCCTGGTATAACATAGTGAGACCTTGTCTCTACCAAAAGAAATTTGCCAGGTATGGTGGTGTGTATCTCTAGTCCCAGCTACTCAGAAGGCTGAGGTAGGAGGATTGCTGGAGTCTGAGAGGTTGAGGCTTGAGGCTGCAGTGAGATTTGATTGCACTACTGCACTCCAGCCTGCACAACAGAGCAAGACCTTGTCTCAAAAAACAACAACAAAAATTCAGTCTCTGCCTGGGTGCAGTGGCTCATGGCTGTAATCCCAGCACTTTGGGAGGCTGAGGCTAGGAGTTCGAGACCAGCCTGGGCAACATGGCAAAATCCCGTCTCTACAAAAAATACAGAAAATTAGCTAGCAGTGGTGGCGCACACCTGTGGTCCCAGCTACACTGGAGGCTGAGGTAAGAGGATCCCTTGAGCCTGGGAGGTGGAGGCTGCACTGAGCCAAGATCATGCCACTACACTCCAGCCTGGGTAACGGAGTGAGACCCTGTCTCAAAAAAAAAAAAAAAAATTCAGACACTTTTTTTACATTAAATGTTAACAAAGAGATGAGGTGTAGTGCAAAGGAGCAAGCATGGGCTTTGGTCAGGAAAGCTGGGTACAGATGTTGGTGGCGCACTTTCTTTGTGATCTATAGGAAGTACTCACCTGTACAGTCTGTTTCCTCACCAGCAAAATAAGGACAGTAATATTTACCTCACAGGGTTAAGGATTAAATGCACAGATATTTGTGCAGCATCCTGAAAGTAATAGGTGCTCAAGAATTTATCCTTATTGTCCTTTTCTTGGAAATATGTGAGGCGCTTTCCTGGGAATTAAGTTGGGAAAGATCTTGTTACTAGGAATGGTGTAGGATAGGTGACACTCTATGTATTGAAAAGGACAAATATTTCTGGGAGTGATGATAGAGTAGTTCTGTGTTCTGAGAACTGATTATTCGGGGACTGCCAGGAAAGAACATTGTACTGAATCTAATTAGGGGTAGATTTCACATGTGTCTTTGGCTCTTTCTCCCTCTTTTCGGTTTCCCTGTCTCACATTTTGGTGTCCTCTGTAAATCCCAAGCCTGCTGAAAACCCCTTTACTGTGCCTCACTAGGGCCTGTTCTCCCTTTCTCTCCATTAAAAAAAAAACAAAAACAAAAACAAAAAAACTCTTCTTGTTTCTTTATCAAAAAATTTCTGTTCCCTCATATGTTTCATTTCAATTTGATGTTAAAATCAAAGCCACTGGATTAAACTAATTCACACTCAGGTGGGTTGAGATTTTTTAAAGTCCAGATGAATTTCAAACTGGTGGAATCTTATGTGGTATTACTATGAATAATTTTAGGTAATATGGAAACATTAGCGTGGATGGGAGAGTTGTGGGAGTGAGGTGGAGAGGTTTACTTTCCCTGGAGTCATGTGACCATTGTCTCTTCTGGTTACAGCATCGTACTTAGTCAGAACTCTTCGGGTTGGTAGTGATAGTGGCTCAGCTCTCAGCTAAAACGGGGATTTATTGCTTCTTGTAACTGCAAAATACCTGAGTGGATTCAGAAATGTAAGTAGTGTTGTGAGGTCTTTCTTTTTTGCTCCCAACCTGGCTCCTCTCTCTGTCTTCACCTCATTCTCTCCTTAAGACAGCTTTCTTCATTTAGCTAGAGGTAAGAGAAGGCACAAGCACATGCAGTTCTAAATTTTTATAATTTTATAATCCCAGGTTATAGGACCTGAGTGGATTCTAGTGTAAATAAAACCCTGGGATGACTAATTCGCTAGCTTGAATCATGACTCCAGGGAGATAGCATATTACAATTGGTCAGAACCAAGTCACATGCCCACCTTTAATCAGGAAGGTAGAGAAATGCTGTTGACAGTCCCACCAAGTAGTGGGTAGTGTAGCGGGGAAGCAGTACCTAAAGGAAGCGGGTACTGCTACTGAGCAAAAGGGGGAAGGTATGCTGGGCAGACAAAAACAACCCAAAACGGATGTCTACCTCAACCAGAAAGAAGGAAAAGAATGGGCCTTCAGCTCCCTTTCAGTATTAGGAAGAAATACTGAAAGGAAATCCTTTGTTTCCCCACTGGCTAGCTAAATAGTGATAAAGAGATCCTGGCAGTGAAGGTCTGAAGAGAGTTCTGTAATGAGGAAGGCAGAGAGAGATGAAGATAGTACAAAAATTTCCATCGCTCAGTGAGGCTTTCTGTTTGCTCTGATACCTATACGAGAAAGAGCTCTATGAGGAATGAGGGAGAAAGTTGTAAACTAGAAGCTAGAGAACATTGAGTGTTTTTGTTTGTTTGTTTGTTTGTTTTTGAGACAGAGTCTCACTCTGTTGCCCAGGCTGGAGTGCAGTGGCGCGATCTTGGCTCCCTGCAACCTCCGCCTCCCGGGTTCAAGCAATTCTCTTGCCTCAGCCTCCCGAGTAGCTGGGACTACAGGCATGTGCCACCATGCCCAGCTAATTTTTGTATTTTTAGTAGAGACAGGGTTTCACTATGTTGGCCAGGCTGGTCTTAAATTCCTGACCTCCTGATCTGCCCGCCTCAGCCTCCCAAAGTGCTGGGATTACAGACGTTATTATTTTCAAAGTTAGAAAATACACTTTTTTTTTTTTTTTTTTTTTTGAGACAGAGTCTCACTCTGTTGCCTGGGCTGGAGTACAGTTGTGCGATCTCTGCTCACTGCAACCTCTGACTCCTGGGTTCAAGCGATTCTCCTGCCTCAGCCTCCTGAGTAGCTGGAATTACAGGCGCGCACCGCCATGCCTGGCTAATTTTTGTAGTTTTAGTAGAAACAGGGTTTTACCATGTTGGCAAGGCTGGTCTCGAACTCCTGACCTCAAGTGATCCGCCTGCCTCAGCCTCCCAAAGTGCTAGGATTACAGGCATGAGCCACCGTGCCCAGCCAAAAATGCATTTTTAAATAAAAGAAGCACTGACTGGTAAGATTACATCATACAAACCAATAAGGACAAAAGAACGGGAGAAAGATTTGGTGGGAATTTTGTCTCAGGAATGACAGGAAAAGTAGCTTGTTAAAGGACAGGTGAAGTTTGGTGAGTGAAACGTCTCTGATGACAATTTTAAGAATCTTCTCTGAGAATGTTAAGGGAAGATATTAATGATTAGGCTAGGACTCTGTGGTAGTAAGTGAAAGGGATGAGATCTTTTTCTTTCTCTCTCTTTTTTTTCGTTTTTTTTTTTTTTTTTTTTTTTTTTTTTTTGAGACAGGGTCTCACTCTGTCGCCCAAACTGGAGTGCAGTGGTGTGACCTCAGCTTACTGCAACCTCCGCTCTCAAGTTCAAGTGACTCTCCCACCTCAGCCTCCCGAGTAGTTGGGATTACAGGTGTAAGCCAATGTGCCCAGCTAATTTTTTTTGTATTTTTAGTAGAGACAGGGTTTCATCATGTTGGCCAGGCTGGTCTCCAACTCCTGGCCTCAAGTGATCTGCCCGCCTTGGCTTCCCAAAGTGCTAGGATTACAGGTGTGAGCCACTGAGTCTGACTAAAAGGGGTGAGATCTAAACTTGGATTTGATAAGAAGGTTATTTATCTAATGAGACATCTGGGGAGAGGGCTTTTACAAGTGGGAGAGGAGGAGAAAATAGTTTACTGGAAAGAATGAAAACAGCGTTAACTGCAGCTTTAGGAGACTTGACATCCTGTCCCTCTCTGATGCTAGACCTGACACTCTGTCCCTCTCTGCGTGACTTAGGAAATCATTTAATCTGTCTGAAACTCCATTTTTTCACCAGAAAATAAGGTTACTACCTCTCCTATTACTACTAATAATAGATCTGCTCTACGTCAGTCAACTGCTTGAAGATAAGATAGTAAATGTGGAAAATGTTTTGAAAAGTTAAAGATCATACAAGAGTGCTCTTGGAAATGGCAATGTTAGTATGCCCTGAAAGGAGGTCTGAGCTTAAAATGGTGGGAAATTGCCCTGAACTTGTCATGAAGCTGGGAGGGGTTCTGGATGACAGTGATGTAAAGAAAATTTTTTTGACTTGGAGTAAAGAATGCTAAAGAGTCATAGGAAGAGTGCAGAGAGAGAGAGAGAGAAAATGAAAATGAATGTTTCCAATTATACCTAAAATTATAGGCAGGAGTAGGAGCATAATGGAAGCATGAAATTCATGAGAATGAGTGAAAAATAAACTGAGAGTGAACTGGCTGTTTTAAACAATCGGAGAAAGTACTGTTTTTGAAAAGAACAGAGAAATAATTCTGTATTGGGCATGATGAAATGAGGATTTAGAAGTGGGAGTGATGGCAAATATGTCTCTTTTTTGAGGAATGACCTGTGTTTCTTCCCACCTTTTGACCCCACCCAAACTGGAACTGGATTCAGGGAGATGAGTAGTTGGCCTGTGAAAATCAGGAAGAGATTCATTGTCCTAAGATGGGCGGACCAGGAGAGAACCTAACCTTTCCTAAGAGTGGTTGGGGCAAGTGTTAGGATAGTTGTTTTTGAAGTAGAGAGAAGATAAGTCAGAACTGAGGGGCTTCTCTTCTATGAATACTCAAGATAATTGATTTCCTACGGTGATAACAGCAGGAGCTGCAGTAATGGGGTGAATGAGGGACAGCACAGGGGCTAGATGAATTCCTGTAGTTGGGAGCATAAAGTTGTCCTCCACTCCCTCTGGCTTTTCCTCCTCCTCCTCGGTGCCTCTAGCGCAGGCCTCCCTGCCTAGATGGAGTGAGTCTAGGGCATTGTGTTCTTTCTGCTGGAGAACACCTACTATGGATTCTTTGGCCCTTGATTTCTTCCCTAGCCCGAACTGACCCATTACCGAGATGGCCTTCTTTCTGACTCTGGAGCTGCTCCCCTTCCTCTTAGAAGGAAGGCCCCATGCAAGCACGTCTCCTGGAGCATGAGTGCTGTTCTCTGGAATGAGATTAATGCCCTTGACGTGAACTCTACAAGTAATCAAGGTTCAAACCTTGTGATTTCTAGTTTTTAGGATAATAGCATCCACCAGGAGAATTCACATGAACTCTGTTTCCTAATGACCAGTCTGTCCTACCATCACTTCCCCTGACCAGAGGCCAAACTGTTTTTCACAGATTAGACTCAACCATAGGGAACAAGCTGGAAACTCAATATAGTCTTCTTATTACCAATAATATCATCCTCATCATAAAGGACAGAACCTTTCTGTCTGTTTGGCCTACTTACCTAGCACAACAAAATAGTTTAGATTTTTAAAATTTTCATTTTGCTGAAGTATTCTCATCAGAATCATTATTTCATTATTTTCCATAGGAAATTTTTTTCATGCAAACCAACAACTTGCAATTTTCCATGTAACATTTTTAATTCTTATTTATTTATCGTTTTTTGTTCATACCAACCAATTATACTGTCTGCAATTGGAAATTTACTTTTTTTTTTCGAGACAGAGACTCTGTCGCCCAGGCTGGAGTGCAGTGGCGCGCTCTCTGCTCACTGCAATCCTGCCTCAGCCTCAAAAGTAGCTGGAATCACAGGCGCACGCCAACACCCCTGGCTAATTTTTGTATTTTTAGTAGAGACAGGGTTTCACCATGTTGGCCAGGCTGGTGGTGAACTCCTGACCTCAGGTGATCCACCCACCTCAGTCTCCCAAAGTGCTGGGATTACAGGCATGAACCACCATGCCCAGCCAGAAATTTACTTTTATGAACATTGTATCTACCAAGTCCAGTTATTCTAAATCAAATTTTGCAAATAGAAATTTTATCAACAAGATTTGCTTCTTGCCAGCCATGGTGGCTCACACCTGTAATCCCAGCACTTTGGGAAGCCGAGGTGGGAGGTTTGCTTGAGTCCAGAAGTTTGAGACCAGCCTGGGCAACATAGTAGGACCCCAACACTGCAAAAAAGTAAAAAAAATAAAAATAAAAAAGTTAGCCAGCCATGGTGGTGTGCGCCTATGGCCCAGCTACTTGGGAGGCTGAGGCAGGAGGATCACTTGAGACCAGGAGTTCAAGGCTGCGGTGAGCTATGATTACTCTACTGCATTCCAGTCTGGGTGACAGAGCGAGCGCCTGTCTCAGGAAAAAAAAAAAAAGATTTGCTTCTTTCAATTTTTAGTCAATAGCAAATTTTTATGTGCAATTTTTATTTTTTACTATTAATATTCATTATAAATTGGATAAAAGGAAATATTTTTATTTCTTAGCTAATTCCAGAGAAAATAGTTAGCTGTTTTGAAATTTCCACATTGTAAAGGATTGCACTACTGTTTTGCTCATTCTCTTTCTCTGCCTGTGTCTTTGGCTACTGCAGTCTACAGTGCTCCTTCTCTTGGGGCAGCAGAGAGCAAATGGCAGGGCCAAAATGTTTTGCTTTGCTTCAAATGTATCAGTATTCTGGGGGGAAAGGTAGATGAGGCATTTCTTAAAAAGTACCTTTTGCTTTCTTTCCCCTGATTTTTCCCATATTTTCTCTCTCCCTTCTCTAGACTTTTCAGCCCTTTTATTTTATCTGACTCATCATTTAATTTTTCTGCTATTTCTCTACCCCACTTCTTTCCTTCCCCAGTCTTCTTTCCACCTGCCTTGGCCTTTCCTTCTCTCTCCCACTCCTTGTCGGTCTTCCTCATTGTCCCAGACTCTCCTCTGAGGCATGTGGCTGTATTTTCTCCTCTCGTTGCTTTCTTCTATTGTCCCACCCCATTTCATTTCAAGAGTTGCTTATCAGAGTCTTCAATGTCATGATTATAAAGGCTCAGAGAGAAACTCTTGCCCCTGCCGCTCAGCATCCCACTGGGATCAAGTAACCAAGAGAGGTTGTGAACCTGTGCTCCTTGTATGGCTTTAAAAGCAGCACTGAGGGTGGCCGGCTCATGTGGGCTTCATTTTATGGATCTGTCTGAAGACAGAGGGATGGATGATACGATCTCAGGAGGGCCCTGCCAGATCGGGAACCTGGGAGCCTCATCTCAATCATCATCAATTTAGATTTATTGGACACCCCCTGGGTGCTTGGAGTTGTACTAACTGATTTTATCCTTCAAGCCTCGAAGTCTAGTTTCTGCCTTTTTAGCACTGTTTAACATATTGTAATATTGGGCTGAGTTTGTACAAGCCTTTGTTATTCTTTTTGTTATTATTTACTACAAACTATGTTTTAAAAAATTAAAATAGAGGATTTACTAATGGTATTAGGATTGTCCTTAATTTCTTTAAGCATCCTATAGATTTTTAAGATCCTATAGATTCCTACTGCATATGAATTCCTCTCCAGCTAATGTGAGATCTGAGGGCATTCTGAAAAGTGGGAAGGATAACATTCATAGGGAGATGTCTTATGCACTGGAGCTGGGCGGGGTGGGGTTGTGGGGAATATCGTCGGAGAGGCTTAGGAAAGGAAAGGACAGGGAGGGAAAGAAAGACGGGGAGCACATGCATGAGCATTTGGAAATCGTTTCTTTTATTTAGTCAACAGATGCTTATTGAGTGTCTACTCTGTATTGAGTGTCAGGTCATTTTCAAGACACTGAAGATATTGCAGTGAATGAGAAATATTCAGAATACCTACTTTCACGAAGCTATAGTCTATTAGGAAGAGACAGCCAGTAAAATAAATGAATAAAATTGGTAAAATGGACCAAAGTAACAAATAAATCGGAGAAAGGACATAGAGAGTATCAGAGGGTTTAAATTTTAAAAGGATGACCAGGGGAGGTGTCACTGATAAAGACCTGAAAGAGGTAGGGAATAAGCTAGTGCAAGATCTAGGTGAAGAGTAGTGTATTCCAGACAGAAAGAGGAATCATGGGCCAGGTGGAGTGTGGAGGACAGAAGCTGGGAAACCAGTTAGAAGATGACAGTGAACCAGGTCAGAGATAATTGTGATGTGGACTAGTTGGAAGCGGGAGATAGGGAGAAAGGATTGGGCTCTGGGGGTATTTTAAAGGCAGCAGCACTAGCAGGGCTTGTAGATGGACTGGATGTGGGTTGTGAGAGAGAGGAGTAAAAAGATGGCATCGAGGTTAGGTTTGAACACACAGAGGATGCAGTTGCCATTAACTGAGATGGGGATGATGTGGATAAAGATGAGAAAGAGCTGGTTTGGGGGAATGATCTGATTGGAGTTCAATTTGGGGCATGTTAAGTTTGAGTTCTGTGGAAGTGGAAAATAATGGGAGAAGAGACCTTAATGAAATGAAGGAGGAAACCAAGGATGTGAATCTTAGAGAAAACAACATAGATTTGGCTAGGGGTGAGATAGAGGGGAAAGAACAGGCTGATGGGAGACATTATGAGGGGCGAATTAGCTACAGACAGGATACAGTACTTACCCAGATGGGTCTTGATGCTGGGCGCCAGTGAAGCCTGAGCAAACTAGTAAAGAAGAACAAAAGCCATTGGCTGGTGAAAAGCAATGTACAGGAGTGGCATGGGAAGACTGGGGGAGCCCAAACTGGGGCATGCCGCATGGACTTTGAGAAGGTTAGAAGAAACAGGAAGCACTCCAGAAAGAAAAGGAGAGGGATGAAAACACCTTCGAGGTATGAAGTTGATTGGGATGTAGATGGGTGATGTGGAAAAAGGTTGAGAGTTCTGGCCACTAAGGAAAATGTCAGCTGGGCGCAGTGGCTCACACCTGTAATCCTGGCACTTTGGGAGGCCAGGGCTAGAGGATTGTATGAACCCAGAAGCTCAAGGCCAGCCTGGGCAACATAGTGAGATCCTGTCTCTACAAAAAAATAAACAGAATTAACCAGGCATGGTGTGTGCCTGTGGTCACAGCTACTTGGGAGGCTGAGGGTGGAGGATCCCTTGAGCCTGGAAGGTCAAGGCTGCAGTGGGCCAAGACTGTGCACTATACTCCAGCCTTGCTGACAGAGTGAGAGTCTCACTCTGTCTCAAAAGAAAGAAAGATAGGAAAGATAGGAAAAGAAAATGTCAATGTGGCTGTTGAGGAAAAAGACCAGGTGTAGACTGCACCTGTGAGGGGGAAGGGAACTTGGCAGGGGGTGGGGCGGGGTGTGCTGAAGGAGAACACCAGGAAGCTCTGACTGCCAGGAGATGTTCTATCTGTGAACACACACACCCTCTTTCTCTAATAAAGCCTTTCCCCGTGCCCTGAATTTAGTTTACTTGGAGTTGTATTCTCAACCTCTGAGTCTGCTTATCTCAGGCATATCTGATATGTGGCCGATACAGGGAGATGCATTCCTACATATAGGTATGCAGGCCTCCTGCCTTTGCACAGTGGACACTTCTGGAAAGGAGCTGACTATTCAGCTTACAGATTATCCATTTTCTCTTGTTCTCCTGCCTATTGATTGTCTTTTGACTTGTTTCACTGCTTTTTGGTCCTTTGAGTAGAAAACGGAGTTTGTAAAACTCACTGAAAACATGTGTAATGCATTATTTGCAGTTCTGATATAAACATCATTGGATACAAAGATTAAAACCAATGGTTGAATTAAGTTTTAGAATTGTGTGGATTAAAATGTTTATATGCTTGTGATTACAAATAATCAGTATTCTACTGAATCAAAATTTCTTTTTTACCCTTTCCTTCTCTTCATTTGTCCCTGTTGCACTTTTCCCTCTTCCTCCTCCTCCTCCCATATTCCTTCCAGTCCTCCCAGCTGACATCAAGCTTAGGGGCCTCAGGATTCTGAACTTGAGCAGAAAACAGCTGTTTGTGCTGCTCAGGCATCCTTGGCTGGGGAAAGGGGAAGGTGGGAAAGAGATGGTTTCATTTTAAGGTCAAGGGTAAGGATTGAAAGGGGATCAGGAGGCCTAAGTAACTGGGAGAAAAAATCTGGCCACACTCAAGGTGCTGCATGGCTGGGAGCCATGGAAATGAGGTTCAGGGACTGCAGATCTAGGGAAGAGGGAGAGGAGGAGACAGAACAGAGGCCATGAGACAGCTCTCGTCAGCTGGGCCAGATGAGGACTCCTAGGAGAAGTGCAAAGGCTGAGCCCTTCTCTCCCCGTCTGTCCTGCCAAGGTCAGTTCTTCTGCATTGCTTCACTCCTCCCCCCAGTGGCTCCAGAAGGATCCCAAGCCGGGTCCCATACTGCTTCATTCTGGCACCTGAGGCTGCGAGGCCTGGCTCTGGAGGGGTGGTATATCACTGCGATGCTGGGCCCTTGGTCTCTAGGTTCCGAGAAAGCTGGGGAGGTGGTGGGTGCGAATGAGATGGGGGTGGTGGGGAAGTTGAGGGGTCATTGTCCACACACTTATTGCCTCCCACACTTTTCCGTAGTGAAATCTGTGCTGGTTAATACCTTTCTTCCCATTTCTTTGTTTTCCCTAAACCTCTTCCCATTCCATATCCTGGACATACCATCCTTCTGCCTCCTGTCCCTCCCCATCTTCTCCTCTCCATGGCTCTCTTTTTTCCTGCTCTTGTCTCCCAACCCCCCATTTCTGGCCATGGTTCCATGGGCCTCCTCCAAACTCTCTTTTTCTTGCTTCTCCCTCCCCATCCATTGGCTTCTTGCTCCTCACAGCAGAGGGGAAGGTGTACAGCTCAGATGAGGAGAAGCTGGAGGCATCAGCAGGAGACCCAGCAGGCAGCGAACAGGAGGAAGAGGGCTCAGGCGGTGACAGCGAGGATGACGGTTTCCTGGACAGTTCTGCAGGGGGCCCAGGGGCTCTTCTGGGACCTAAACCGAAGCTAAAGGGAAGCCTGGGGACTGGAGCTGAGGAGGGGGCACCGGTGACAGCAGGGGTCACAGCTCCTGGGGGGAAAAGCCGACGGCGCCGCACAGCATTTACCAGCGAGCAGCTTTTGGAATTGGAGAAGGAATTTCATTGCAAGAAATACCTGAGCTTGACAGAGCGCTCTCAGATCGCCCACGCCCTCAAGCTCAGTGAGGTGCAGGTCAAGATCTGGTTTCAGAATCGACGGGCCAAGTGGAAGCGCATCAAAGCTGGCAATGTGAGCAGCCGTTCTGGGGAGCCCGTAAGAAACCCCAAGATTGTTGTCCCCATACCTGTGCATGTCAACAGGTTTGCTGTGCGGAGCCAGCACCAACAAATGGAGCAGGGGGCCCGGCCCTGAATGGGCACCCAAGAACTTAGGAAGGCGAGGGATCTGTACCTGAGCCTGCTCTGAGACTGTCAGGGTTCTGTGGACCAGAGGGGCTGCAACTGTGATTCTGCCTTGAGAGGGGCTAGTTGGCAATTAACCTAGCCCTGGGTGTGCTCTTCCCAGACTCCTCCCAGAACCTGAGATGTGAGCACTTGGCCCTGAGCCTGTTCCAGAGAACTTCAGGACTAGGGGCTTCAAGGTTAAAGGGGCTGGGGTTCTATTGCTGAGGAGCTGTTGGGACTGAGGTGGACTCCTGGGGAGGGGGTGGGTTCTAAGATGCCTAAGGCCTGAAGGTTCTGTGGCAAATGCCCTGGAACAGCTTCTGATGGGTGGAGGGAACAGGCGATACCTAGCCAAGTAGATCGCAGCTCCTTATTTATTTGTGTAAATGTGTATATATGGAGCTATCTGTCTCTGTACGTCTGTCTGCACCCCTGAGAGGGATTGGGAAAGTTGTTTCCTCAATCCTCAGCCAGAGTTCGTCTGTCCTACTGCTTTGGGGTAGGCCCCATCTTGCCTCTCTTTACAAAGAAATGAAATGCAACCGTCACTGGCCTCTGTAGAAATTCTTCAGCACTCCCCTATCTCCCCCACCCCACGTTAACTACCTCTACCCCCATGCTTTTCCACTAGGGCTGCTCACCGCTTGCTCTTGTTTCTATACCTCGGGCTCCTAACGTGCCATCTCTTCCTGCTTCCCATTAAACAGGCAAGCTTCTCCAGCTCTGTTTTCTCCTCCTTGGATGAGCTGGAAAACTTTGGGAGAGATTCACTTCACTTCCTGTTGCATTTAGGTGGGGTATGTCCAAGCCATCTAACTTAGGGGGAGGTCACTAATGACTGGGGCACTCATATCACCCGTGAGCTCATGAATAAATTGTTTTCTATGCAGAAGACACGGCAGCTTAGTCTGTCTCTGCCACCCTTTGATATTCCAGATGCAAGGGCCTAGAGGGAAGGACCCACTTCCAGTTTTCTGTTCTTACAGCATTAACTATCATCTCTTCTTCTCCTCTTTGCACCATTTTTGAAGCTTGGGATACCCCTACCTCTTCTGTTACAGAATAAGATTGGTTGAGGGGGGCCATGGCTAAGTGGATGGGACAGGAATGAATTTGTGTGATAGACATAGCAGAGGCTTGGGGATTGGAACAGCATTAGTGGACAAAGTGAACACAGGGAGCAGTGCTCACAGATCCATCTGCAGACAGCAGGCAAAGGGCACAGAAACCAGTGGAAGTTGGTATCATGGTAACTGGGCTTCCTGGGAAGAAATATGACCTGTGTTGATTTGGGAGGGGAGATACAGTAGAGAGCAGAGCCATCGAGAAGAAAAATGGGCTGTGAATGAGGCAAAGAAATTCAGGAAATGAAGGTATTAATGTCAGGAAGGGGAGGGAAGTACAGCTCAAATACCTGGCCTCCTTACTTTCCTTAGAGGGAAAGCTTCTGGCTATTCCTGATTCCTGGAATGGAAGACTTATCAACGTCTCATCACCCTGACATGTGCTGGACACTTCTTATGGCGAGACCAAGACAGCTCTCCTTGGCAGCTCATTTCTCCCAGCTGGTTTGGGCAACCAAACAAAGCAATCTGGAGCCGTGACTGGTCATTAACAATGGTACCACAGTTCTCCAGCTAGGACACACAGAGCTAGGGCAGATCTTCTCTATTTTTTGGCTAATTTCAGCAGGGCTTGAGAATTAGGCTAAAAATATGTAGTCCAGACCAGCCCCATTCCCAGCCTGGTCTAGATCAAGGCTAAGTCTCCTTAGATTCAGCCTTCACAGGGAACCTATGGGGTTAGAACCTTTTTTTTTTTTTTTTTTTTTTTTTGAGATGGAGTCTCGCTCTGTTGCCCAGTCTGGAGTGCAGTGGTGTGATCTCGGCTCACTGCAAGCTCCACCTCCTGGGCTCACGCCATTCTTCTGCCTCAGCCTCCCGAGTAGCTGGGACTACAGGCGCCTGCCACCACGCCCGGCTAATTTTTTGTGTGTGTTTTTAGTAGAGATGGGGTTTCACCGTGTTAGCCAGGATGGTCTTGATCTCCTGACTTCGTGATCCACCCGCCTCGGCCTCCCAAAGTGCTGGGATTACAGGCATGAGCCACCTCACCCAGCCGCGGTTAGATCTTTCTTTTTAGGAGATAAGCCAGGCAGAGGTTGAGGATCACAGGAGCCATTGTCATTCTGGCACGGCTGGAGCAGAGTTTCTGTGGCCATGTGTCCCCTGTGGTGGCAGGCAAGAGAACACCTGGGCAGGAAGGCCACAGATGAGAAGCAGCTCAAACCAAGGCCCCAACCTGCAGGGGTTTTTCTGGCTCTACCTATGAAGCCTCCTAACCTGTTCAAAGCAGTATTCAACCAGCCGAAGCAGCTTGTTTTCCACAGGGAATCTGGAGGTGACTATTGCTAGTATTTGGAGCCCAGGAACCTATTCCTACACATACCCATGGCCCTGTCTCTATTTTGCCCTATCTACATGTAAGGTTTGTGTCAGCCTTGCAAAAGGGGCTGTGGGCTGAGAAAATAAAGCCTGGCTTCCTCTCTGAAGAGTGTTACTTGCCTACCTGCACAACACACCAGCCCACCACACCCAACATATTATGCTCATGGTGCTTTAGAAAGGGCCTATGTCAGGTCTGTGGGAATTTTTTTCCCCCCCCGAGATGGAGTCTTGCTCTGTCACCCAGGCTGGAGTGCAGTGGTGCAATCTCGGCTCACTGCAACCTCCGTCTCCTGAGTTCAAGCAATTCTCCTGCCTCAGCCTCCTGAGTAGCTGGGATTACAGGCGCCCACCATTACGCCTGGCTAATTTTTGTATTTTTAGTAGAGACAGGGTTTCACCATGTTGGCCAGGCTGGTCTCAAAAACTCCTGACCTCGTGATCTGCCCACCTCGGTCTCCCAAAGTGCTGGGATTACAGGTGTAAGCCACCGCACCTGGCCTGTGGGAGTTTTTTTTTTTTTTATTTTAAAAAAAAAGAGAAGACAAGGGCTACCAGCAATGTGGGTCCAGGAATGGGACAGCAAGAGACTCCTCAGAGAGCCAGGACTCTAACTAACTTAGCAAGTTCTCATCCTTTCAGAACCAGCAGGGAGAAGCATTTCCCCCAGGTCTTCCTTCTGGACTAAGGGATTCAGTCAGAAGGAAAAGCAGGAACTCTGGATTCTGCCCCCCAGCTTGGCTTGGCAAGATGGTGGGAGTTAAGGCAGCCATTCTTGTGTCAACCACCTACCTCCTCCCCTTTCCTCACAAGCAAAGCCCAGGCACAAGTCAGTCTATGCTGTAATACAGCTATCTGGAGAGAAGTGCTGCCACTTACCTGCGGCACCCTCAGTTCTTCTCCAGGGTACTGACTCAAGTATCTCCCTGTACATCCTACTGTATGGCCATTCCCAGACTTGTAGGAAAGGGGCAATGCTTATGCCCACTTTCTGGGTGCATTCTGGCCAGTACAGGGTGTGGCAACAAGCTTACTACATAGAATACTGATGACAAATGAAGAGAGCAGCTAGAAAGGCTACCTGACGGCTGGGCATGCTGGTTCATGCCTGTAATCCCAGCACTTTGGGAGGCCGAGGCGGGTGGATCACCTGAGGTCAGGAGTTCGAGACCAGCCTGGCTAACATGGAAAAAACCCATCTCTACTAAAAATACAAAAATAAGCTGGGCGTGGTGGTGGGCGCCTGTAATCCCAGCTACTCGGGAGGCTGAGGCAGGAGAATCGCTTGAACTCGGGAGGTGGAGGTTGCACTGAGCCGAGATCTCGCCACTGCACTCCAGCCTGGGCGACAGAGCAAGAGACTCTGTCTCAAAAAAAAAAAAAAAAAAAAAAGCTGCCTAAAGGTGGGGGAGGCAGCACCCAGTAGGAAGCAAAGAACTCTGTGTCCTCTCTTCAGGGGCCCTGTGCTGTGCTGCTGAAAACTCAACCACACCCTGCCAAGGGAAGGCCGAAAGAAAGCAATGCGCATAGAAGGATGAGGAATGACCACCTGGGACCCAGGCGAACAGAGGGAAGAAAATCTTAGAACATGGCAAACAATGAGAAGAAAGGGATAAGGAGAGAGCAGAGCTGAGGGACACGCTTGGGAGGGCAGCGATGTAAAAGGGGGAAACAAGGCCACGCACACAGTCTGGTTTATTGGCTCATCATACACACACACATCAAATATGTACACAAACATAAATATTCCAATGTACAAAGTTTACATGGGACTCACAGATCACCCCTCGTCTCTTTCATCCAGCACCCCCAACTTGGTGCCGTCCTCTTCCTGTTTCAGGATGAAGGCGTGTGAGGGGCTGGCACTAGGAGGCAGGGATCTGGAGGAGGGAGAGGTCCTGCTCCCCTCTCCTCACAGGCACCTCCGAAGGGTCCTGTCCCTTTTCAATGGCACCTTAGGGCAGAGGGCTAAATCCCTCATCCCTCTCTGCTGCAGCTCAAATCCCCAACTCTCCTTGATCCCTTTGACTCTCCTCCCTAATTTCCTTGGCTTCGTCCTCTCAGCATGTCCCTGCTTCTCCATCTCTGTGTCTGTTCCCACAGTGCCTGCAGGGAGGAGGGTCTTTGGGCCATGGAGTCCTTCTGGCCCCTCTGCCCTCTTCCTGGGCCTTATAGGAGGCTAGGACTACGGTGCAGCTCAGCAGAGGGGTTGGTGCCATTGGCAGGCTCTCTGTTGGGGGTAGGCGCTAAGCCACAGCCCTCCCCAGGGCAGCCATGCTGGATCAAGATGTCTGCACACTCCTGGCTGCCGGCCCGGCGAGCATATGCCAGTGGAGTCAGGCCCCGGGCGTCCCGGCTCCTCACGTCCACCCCGTACTGTAGGAGAAAACACATGTTGACAGTTGGCAAGACATGGGAGGAGAGAGATTGGTTGTAGGGGAGGAAAGAAGAGGTTGCTTTCAAAGAACAAGGCTAAGAAGAGCGAGGTCAGGGCAGGCTAGAGGCACGTGACTCACCCAGATGAGCAGCTGCGTGAAGACAACGTTGGCCATGGCACTGGAGAGATGTAGAGCCGTCCGCCCGTCCCCGTCCCCATAGGTCTCATTCACCTCCTCTTTGGAGCCATGTGCCAGGAGCATCACCAACAGCCGCAGGTCATCTTCCACCACGGCCCGGAGCAGCTGCTGCCCCAGTGGCACATCTGAGCTTGGCAGTGGGGCCAGGAAGAGCTTCTGTTCATACTTGGCCCGTATCCAGCGTTCCTTCTCCTCTCTGCAACCACAGGCCCATCAGGGCATGAGCCAAGGAAGGTCACCGAGCAACGGGTGGGGCCAGGAAGGTGGGCAGGAAAGGAAGCGAGCACCCGGGGGAACAAGGAAGAAACAGTGAGAGAAGATGAGATGGAGCAAAAAGGAAGGAGAGAAGCCTTGGAAACTCCAGGCACACAGAGGGGCAGTGGGTAATGGAAAGGGGGGTGGGAGAAGCTGAAAGGAAGGGACACTGAAGGGAGGCCCCCTGGGGACAGTGGGGATGCGGGGGCTGAGAGGGCAGGAAGATTCCAGGCAGGCCCGTGTTGCAGCTTATCTGGCCGTCTGAACTCTCTTGGATTGGCAGTGCTGGAACAAAGCGGGTGGGGGCCTGCACTGGGGGGCCACACACTCCCCTATCTCTCACCCATTCTCCCCATCTCAGAGCTCCGGAGTGGGCGCTCTGCACCACACCGTGATAGGGGCCCTGCGCATGCGCCTCCTGCTGGCCCCTGACCTGCTGATAACGCTCAGAAAGGGCCCGTTGTTGTGAGGCGCCTGAGTGACAGGCACCAGAGCAGGAGGGGCACCCCCAAGGGGCCAACTGCCAAGCAGAGCAACAGACAGTTTTAACCCTTCTAATACCATCACAGCCACTCCAATCTTCCCCATGCTGGGAGCCCCCAACGCTTCCCCCATTCCTGGCCAGCTCCAGGGCACCATCTGCTCACCTGCAGGCATCAGGCCCTGGCTTGGAGTAGCCACCCAAGGCCCCCTCCCAGACGCTGTTGGCGAGGGCATTGCCCATGGCAGTCATGACAGCCAGCAGCTCAGGCGGCCAGTCATCGAGGTCAAGGGAGCGCACCCGGGACAGGTGAGCCCCCAGGTGTCGGTGGATGCCTGAGCACTCAATGCACATCAGGGCACCCAGGTTCAGGCTGGCCCAGTCTGGATCTAGGCAAGGAGAGGAGAATGATACAGCGACAGCAGGCAGGCCACCAGAGCGCGGGACAACTAGGGAAGGCTTCCCTGCCCTCTTCCCTGCTCCCTGATGCTTGCGAAGCTTTCCCTGGGCCATCCCCAGCTCCCAGCCCCACCAGCCTTGCACTCACTGGGTGCATCGCAGTCGATACAAAAGCTGTTGCCGCGGACGGTGCGGACGGCCTGCACAGCCAGAGCTGCGTTCTGGTTCCCCAGTCGAGTCTGTCGCACAGCAGGAGAGACAAGACAAGGGGCGGTTGGTCAGTCATGAGGCCCCTTTCAGTCCCACCCCAGCCAGGTGCTCTGTGTGGGCCCAGTCACTCTGTACCCACCTTGTCCTTGGCACTGCGGCAGCCTTGCAGGCTGGCAAGGATCTGGGCCTGCACACTCTGAACCCACAGCTCCCGCTCCTCCGCCGTTGAAGCCTCGAAGTGCCACGTCTGCCCAGTGAGGGACACCACCACAAATTCAAACGACTCCTCTGCCTCTGTTGGGGGGGTGTTTATGCCATCAGGGCTCCTGGCCTGCGTGCACACCCAGGGCATGCTATCGCCACAACTCCACTCACTACCCTGCTCCACTGGCAAGTGTCCTCCCCTAGACCCTTCCCCAGCTGCAAGGCCACACACTCCAGGACAGCTTGCAGGGGGAGGCCAGAGTAAACCTGCAAGACTAGTGTGAGCTCCCAGTTCTCATTCCTAACCACCTGTGGAGCTTAAGTGAAAACAGATGGGGGATGCAAGATCTTGGCACCCCTGGCACTGCCGGGAATGGGTGTGAAACCAGAGAGGGGTGCATCCCACAGAAAGAGCTGAGTATCTGGAGAAGGATGTGACGGGGTGCTAGGAGGCAAACACTGGGAGAGGGTGGGGGAAGGCGGGTGTGGGCACCATCCGTACATGTCAGCTGCAGCCGCCTCATTTTGCAGCTCATTAAACCCAATATTCCTGACGGCGTCAGCGTGGGGCTCCTGGGAGCTGGGCCCCTCCCCCACTACCATGGCATAGACAGGCAGGAAGGGCAAGTGGATGGGGGAGAGGAGGAGAGGTTTTCTACAGGACCTGCAGTATGTGAGCAAATAGGGGCCTGAGGGCATCTGTACTGACAAGCACTGAGGGCTGGACTGTGAACCCAAGCAATGTGGTGAAGCTCTTCCAAGCTCTGGTCCCCCAGGCCCCAGAAGACAGCCGCATGAATCTCATTCCCAATGGTCACTGCCCCATGGGTGAACAATTCCTAACAAGCAGTGTGACTGTGTCCTGGGGGCTGGAAAGACAGCACAGGTGCCTGTGGTAAGGCCCCAGGGTGAACCCCAGTTCTGCCAAGGCCATCTCTGCTTGTAAGTCCTCACTGCATCTTGGCCCCAGGCAGCCTCACCTCAGTGACACCGACATCCCCTGGAATTCCTCCTCTGCTGGGCCCTTGCTCTCAGGGACTGTTAGCAGAACTGCCTTCCCACAGAAATAGAACCGGCGCCTCCTTCCCCAGGCACCACCACTGCGCCTCACCTTGCTTTCAACCACAGCCTTCGAACTACGTGATCTCCATGATCATTTGTGGGGCTTAGTCTGCCGGACCAGAAGGGAGACCCCACGCTGTAAGTACTAAGCATCACTGTGTCACAGGTTGGCTAGGTGTCTCTGCTCCCCTGACCCATACGTCTACCCTGATGATTAGAGCAGAAGTGAGAAATTATGAGTCTGTAGAAGTTAAACTTATTTGGGAGCAAAGAAACTCCAATCACCAAGAAGAGGGAGGTTTTGAAGATACTTTGAGGAAAATCTGAGGAGCAGCAGTATAATTAATAGAGGAAGAGAAAGGTCCTATGGAAGAAGGCTTCAGGACCTGGAATTCCTTAGCCTAAGGAAAACTAATGAGAGACTCAGCCAATCTGTACACATGTATTACGCACCTAGTAAGTACCCAGCACTTTATTAAACTCGGTATGACACAAGAGACAGAAAACACAGGTCCTGCCCGAACATCTTAGAGGAGCTATTGATGTAGCAGTCTGCTGTCTTTTACCTTAAGAATAAATGAAGTAAGCCCACATTTCAACAGAAAGGGTTTCAGTTATCAGAAGAACTTTTCTAAGATACCAGGTCTAGATTACCAAAAGAAGCTGTAGAACTACTTTGATTAGCAACTACTAGAAAGTGCTTAATCCACTGAATACAAAAAATAAAAAATAGGTGTTACTTTTAGGGTACTATCCCCAAGTCCCACTGCCCACCTCCTGTGCCCGGTTTCCCTCTGGGTCCCCCTAACCTTCAGTAGCACTGCTGGGGCCGTCTGGTCGGGGGGTCCCGGTGCTCTTTTTCCTCCGGTGCTTCTTCCGGTTGGAGTGGGGAGATGGGGGAGGATCCAGCTTGGGGCTGGAACTGAGTACCTCAGCTGGGCCACTGGCTGGTGAGGGGAGAGTTGGAGAAGTGTGGGAAGAAGGGAGGCAGAGGAGGGGAGGGGCGCAGGGCACTGGGAGGAGGAGAGGACCAGTCCTGCCAACTGTAGCTGGGCCACACTCAGGAGAGCCAGACGGACACCTCTCTCTAGGCGAGGTCTGCCTGGGCTTCCCAGTCCCAAAGCTCCCCAGCCTTGGAGGAGGAAAATGTGGAAAGAGAATAGGAAACTTAGGCAGAGCAGGATGGAGGCAAAGGGAGGAAGCTGCCTCTGCAGCCTGGAGGGGTGGAAGGCAGCCCAGGGAACTCACGGGGAGCTGAAGCCCCAGCAGCTCCGCACCAAATTTATCCTCAATCACACTCCCCGCTCCTCACAATTAATAGCAGAATTAGAAACAATCAGGGAGCTGCCTAATTACTGTCAATTAGAGCGCGCTAATCAAGCTCCGTCTCCCACACCCCGCCCGGCGCTCACCACTAAATGTCAAACTTCATTAGAGGCAGACACGCTCCCTCCCTTCCTGCCTTCCTCCTTCCAGACTCAACAGAGGGCCCTCACGCAGGCCAGCACAGGCCACCGGACCGGTGACCCAAGGGAAGGGCCCCTGGCTCCCCTTCTCATGCGCTCCAAGCTCACTTCTCCCAGGGGTGGGCTGGGCATGGATTGGGAGGTGGGGCAGATCCCCGTGCTGGCACCGCCCAGCTCCTCCCTCAGCCCGTGCTCCTGAGGCCATGGCAGCTCAGAGGCTGGGCCTCAGGGCTCCTACTGGGAGGGCTCAGGGAAGGCCTTTGGGAAGCCAATCAGCTGGGAGAGCACCCATGGCTGGGGTGACAGTGGGGCACCCTGGGTCTTCCTGTCATTACACCATCACTCAGGACAAGGGCATGGAAAGCGCAAGGGACAGGAGAGGAGAGCTGGCTCCATGCCCTTTTGAGCCTTCAGAACTTCAGATCTGTGGTCAATGATGAAAGTAACAAGTAGGGTCAAAAGAAGAAAAGCAGAGAGAGAAAGAGAACAAAGGGGCAAACGGAAGAGCCCTGGAAGCAGGTGGAAGGGGCAGACGGGAGAGGCGGTGGAGTCACCAACCCACCTAGGATGGGTGGAGGCCTATCTGAGGGGGACAGCACAGGTGGAAAACGACCTTTCAGGACAACTCCACAGGGACCCCCCAGTTCCACAGTAGCGGGCGAGATGCTGCTGCCTTCGGAACGTGGCTCACATGGCTTAGAGCGCCCAGCCTCCGTCCGACCTCCCTACTCAGCCGCTTCCCCGTCCCCCTGCCGAGAGGCTGATGAGCTAACTGCGCGGGGGGCTGATGGGGATGCGGGAGCCACCACCAGCGCCGCCTGGGGACAAAGGGGAGGAGGAGCTGCAGAGGGTGGGCCTCTAGCGCCGGCCCCAGGCAGGGCTGCAGGCAGATGGGGGCTCTGGGGAAAAGGGCTGCACATGGAGGCTGGAGAAGGGACAGTGCCCCTACTCTGCTTCCAAGACAACGTCAGTACTAGCCCCGAAGCAGGGTCTCTCTGACAAGCCCAGGAGGGCCCAGCTGGGCCCCACCCCTTGGCCTGGACACTGTCCCACTGCAGCCTCCCAAGCCAAGAATGCTGCCCAGTTCCCCTCCTCTCTGTCACTGGGGCCCCAGAAAAGGTGGGAAGCAGCAGAGCCACCACTCACCAGGGTGCTGCATGCCTGGGGGCAGGGAAGTGGTGGCCTCACTCCACTGGTCGGCGCTGGAAACGGAGCAGGAGCGCTGGTGCAGCCCCTCAGGGCGCGGGCCAGCCCAGGCCGAGCTGCTGAGGGGGCGCTCAGAGTGCAGGGATGCGCTGCTGGCCGAGTGGGGGGCACCTGGGGGCGGGAAGGGTCAGACTGGGAAGGGAGGCCGGGCAGGGGAGGATTCTCAAAGATACTATCCTAAAAATAGAGCTGCAGAGCAGAGCCTGAGACATTCAGCAGGGCACTGGGTTCATCAGGTGGCGGGCCAGCTTCTGGGAGAGCCAGAGGCTGCGCAGGGACCCTGTGTGCCTTAGGAAGCAGCCTGTCCCCAGATCTTCACGGTCCACAGCTCTGTCCCCTCACTGTGGTCCGGGAGCGGGGCGGGGGGTCTCTGCATCAGAGATCTTCCAACTTGTGGAACGAGCTGGGTGGTGCTGACACCCATCGCCGCAGTGCTCCTTGAGGGGCCCCTCCTGGCTTGGGCCCCTGCACCCTCCATTCTAGTCCACATATGCCATTTGCTTCGCCTCAGCTTTACTGCCATTCTGACGAGAAATAAGTGTATCAAATTCAAGTAATTATGTCTAATTAGTATTAGTAATTATCCTGTTGGGCTGGAGAAAATTAATCTTTCGTTTCCCATCAGGGAAGAATGGCAGAGCCAGGGGGAACCGAAGGCTCTAGGAAAGCCAAGGCTGGGGCAGGCGCGGCGGCCGGCAGTGGAGGGAGGACAGAGCGCCGCACAATTCTCCCACCTCACTCCCTGGCTGAGCCCCTGCTGGAGAGATTCTGGGAACAGCCGTGGGGCCTCAGAGGCCTGTGGTACAAGGCCTGAGTTGGAACTCCGAGAACCTAAGCTTCCTTCCCCTTCTTCAGTCCACCCAACACTGAGACCACAAAGAAATGGCCCCAGGCGGTCTAAGAACACGGGGGCCGAACCTGAGGTGCTTCAACCTTGAAGCGGAGGAGCCCGCCAGGTGCTGGAGGTTAGTGGGAAAGCAGAGAAGGGGCCCGGAGCTGGCCAAAGCTGGAGACAGCAGGCAGAGGCCCAGCCAGGGGAAGGGCAGGCGCCAGGTCTCACACCAGCCCTGCAGGCGGCGGGACTGAGGGGAAGCCTGCGGGGAGACGGCACCAGGCTGCAGCAGCTGGAAGGTAAAGGAATGGCCCAAGGGGCCACAGCTCTGCTGCTGGGAGACGCCCAAAGGCAGGGAGCAAGTTTTATGTTCCTCTTGTATCTGTCACAACACCCCAAAGAGGACCAGACACATAGTAAGTGCTTAGTCACATACGTGCAGCACAGAGGCTACAGGCCGGTCTCCATCTCCAGGCCCCGAAGAAACATGTAGAGGCTGCCTCTTCAGAATCCCACCCACCTCCCGTCCTCTGCCCTCACAGGTCCCGCCTCAGGAAACCTTCCGGGGTGCACACTTGGTCCCTCATTTCTCAGATACCTTGCTTCTCCTCACCCCTGCTTTCATTCCCTTCCAGGTTCCAAATCTTATTCCCCCTCATCCCTAGCCCCATCCAAAGACATCACAGGCCCAACTTCCTCCCCAAGCCCCCGACCCAAAATCCTGAGGGAGGGAAAGTGCTTTCCCTTTTCTTTGTTAATTCTCCCCTCATTACGCCTGCAATCCCACAATCAGTGTGCACTGTAATTGTCGAATTTGATGCTAATGATTAATGAATTAAACATGGAGCCATCAATTAGTCCTCGGAGGATAATTCTGCATAAAGCAGCGGATAATGTAATTACAGTAACAAAGATAATGAGATGTTAACATCGCCCGGTGAGTGAGAGACATGTGTGAGTGTGCACGAGGGTCGGTGTCGGCGTCGGCATGCGGCAGCGGGACGCGGGCTGGGTGGGCACCGTCCGCGAGCTCCTGCGTGTGGGCGCTGTCATTACAGGAGCGAGGGCACGGGGCTGTCTCCTCCATGCCACTGCCGCTCCCAGGTGAGGGATGTCAGGGACAGGAACGGGACAGGACAGCGTCTTCTCGTTTCCCTTGCTCTAGGGAAACAGCCCAGCTGTCCTCTGGCTCCCTGCTGTCAAGGAAAGGGACTCACTTGGGCCTGCTCCTCATTTTTGGAATGATAAGAGAAACCCCAAGCTGACCAAAGGGGCTCCTGGGGGCCGGTGCCAGAGGGCTCCCCGCAGCTCTGACCCGCTCTCCGGGCAGAGCACTGAAGACTGCATGTGACCTGCCATCAGGCCAGTACAACCCCACGGCAGGCTCAAGGTCCCCCACTGGCACAGCCCCATGATGGGTGGTGGCCGGCCTTCTCCTTCTTAGCTTCCTTCCTTCCCTCCATCCACCTCACAGGCTTCCTTTCTGAGCTCAGGGTGGCTTAGAGGAAAGAAGATTGCTCTTCAAGTCAGACACAGTTAGGTTGAACCCTAGGTCTCCCACTTACTGTGGAATTTACAGACAAGTTTGTTAGCTATGCCAAGCCTCTGTTTCCTCATTAAAATGGGGACAATAATCTCTACTTCACAGCTGCTGAGGACCTGGGACCTGATGCAGAGACATCCACTGCATAGGGTACATCTCAGTTGTGTCAGGCCCCTCCCCCTGGCCACTCCCCTGCCTTCGGGCTGGTCCACGGTGTTTCTGCGAGAGTGGGCCCAGCACACCTGGTTCAGGTGCCTTGCCTCCAACAAGGACCACACCTGGAGGCATCATTGCGCCTTCCTTCCCTCTAACCTGGGCTTTCTCAGCGGAGTCCCATCAGCCTTGTGAGTGGGACAATTCTTTATTGTTTGGGGTCTCTCCCATCCATTCCAGGGGACTGGATGTCGTATCCCCAACCACCTGTCCACTAAGTCTGTCACATCCTCCCCTCACTGTGACAAGCACAGGCCCTCTAGGGAGGTGACTCACCCAGCTGCAGACCTGTGCTGCCAAGCGCTGACTGCTGGGACAGGGCACAGGAATGGCACCAGCAGGGCAGCTGTTACTGGGCCCAGGGAACATGAGATCCAATGGTCTAGGACAACACTGGGGATACTGAAGTCTTGGGGGAAAGCAATCGGGAGCCAGGGGCTCTGGAAGCGAGGGAAACGGGTGTGGAAGGACGGACCCTGGAAGAGCATGGGGCCTGGGGGCCCAAAGGAGGAGGAATGAAGCGGCACTAGGGAGTTGCTGGGGACAGGAGGCCTTTCACCTGAGCCAGCACTGTCAGTTGAAAAGGCAAGAACGCAACAGCTCTTCACTGGAGTTTCTTGCCTCCAGATCCTGTCTAAATTCAGTCCTCTCTGAGCAGAGACCCGCCTCTCACTCAGGCCTGAGAATATGCACCAGGTTGACCTCAGACAGCTCCGTCCCCTTCCACCTCCCCTATCTCCATATGCCAACCTTGGCTGAGATGCCGGCCATGCACCCAGAGGCATGGCCCCCACCCATCGCCTGCCTCGGATCCAGATGCAGAGATGGGCCTAGGACCACCAGCACCACTGCCCAAACATGACACTACTTGGCCCCATCTGACATCCAGATCAACTGCTCGTCTAGGCATTTGCTGTCACCTCAACTAACTCCACGAGGGCTGCGTTAGGGCACATGTCTTTGGCTGAGATGACCTTGAAGTGTGATGCTGGCCAGCACCCTGTGCCCAGGCTGAGAAGCAGCCAAGCCCAGAATGCCTGCTTGCCTTGGCTCCAAGGCAGCCACCCCCCAGGCCCCCACCTCAGCAGCCGCCTCACCTGTGCCCCCACCCAGCTGTGTGTTACTCCGCTCCACGGACAGCCCGTTGGCACGGGGGCTGGTGCCCGGGGCTGTGGCAGGTGTGGCTCGGGGCAGGCGCTTCCCTGGCACTTTCACCGTTGTCCGCAGCAGGTCAATCTCCTTGCCGTGGATGTTCTGCATGTAATCCTGCAGGCCGGGTGGGAGAGACAGATGAAGACTGGTTAGCAGCAGTCACTCCAGCGTTGAGCCTTGCAACTCCTAGGTCTCTCCCTGCTGTGGGAGGAGAGGGAAGGCTCCAATCTTGAAAAGCAGGATTCTAAGCCACAGAATGTCTCCGAGTCTGGATTCCACCTCGATCTCCACGGTGCTCAAAGCAGCTCTAGGGGGAGTCTGCCAGGAGGGAGGTAGAGTTGGGGGCGGCGAAGGACCTGGAGCTAAGCGCTGAGGCTCAGGCCCTCAGGAACAACGGCTTCAGAGGCAACAGCACAAAGCAGGCCAAGTGCTGGGCCAGGCTGGGATTTAGGGAGAGCCCCTGGCTGAGGAGGGGAGCGGAGACACTCGGGGACATGGATGACAGGGTGGCCACCAAGCACTGCAGCCCCCACCTGGGCATTAAGAACCTTCTAAAGCCTAGAATAGTCCCAGCCCTTAGGACAGTGTCTGATAATAAACACTTGTCAAACAGTTTAAAAGGAAGCCTCTGATTCTTTTTGCTGGACTTTGGAATACAGCAACAGGTGCTCTCACAGGTACCACCAATTCCCTGGCGGCAGTCATCGTCATCGCCGTCATGTCATCTGCCTGTCGCGTGCAGGGTATTTACCATCCTACAGCAGTGTATTTATACATTCCACGTATAGCCTCGCGTAATCTTCACCACCTGAGGGAGGTAGTGCCTGTTTTGTAGATGAAGCAACTGAGGCTTAGAAAGGCTTATCTGCCCAGGAACACACGATTAAATGGTAGCAGAGTCAGATTCAAGCCAAGGTTTTTCAGATTCCCAAGCCTGTGCCCTGTGTGCAGGCTTCCTCCAGCCTGTCCTGGGCCCGGGACTCACCCTGCTTTCAAGTCAGGGCCCCGGAGATGGGGGGCCACTTTGTGCTTGGACTCCCCCCATCATTTAGGGAGCACCACGGCCGAGTGCAGGGAGGGAGGGTGGGAGCCTGCCGCTTCCTGGCCTGGAGCCCCGCTGGGCCTCCTGCTTCCAGCCTCTCCTCCAGAGGCTTCCCTTTAAACTGTTTGACAAGTGTTTAGTATCAGACACTGCCCTAAGGGCTGTCCCAGCCTGTTGCCTCCTGCTTCCCTGTCCCTGTCACTGTCCCTGAGCTCCACGGCAATTCCTAGCCAATGCCCTTGGTAAAGTGGCACAAATTCCTCTCCATGGGTCTATGCCCCTTCCTGAGAGAAGAACCTGGGTGGTGGTGCCAGATTTAACTTCTGACTGAATTACATTGATTGGACATAAAGCCGCTCCTCCTTTCCCCTCTGTGAGCACCTCTGGAATATCTGCATCCTAAGGGCGGCCGTGCGACGAGCCTTCCCAGACGCGCTCCTCCTACCCTGAGGAGCCCGGCCTTCACCTTTACCGCACTGGCCATCAGACTGCTTTCCCGCCAGGCTGGCTCTATCTTCTCACCCCGTTAGCTCCAGGGAAAACTGACACTGTCCTCTGCTGAAAAGAGCCCAGGGGGCCTGCTGCCTCTTGGGAAGCAGTGGAAGGGCAGGAAGTCTCACCAGGGCTCCCTCTGGCAGGAATAATGAAGACATCAGGTAGACAAGGAGTCACCTGGTCCCAGGTCACTAAGAGAAGGTGAGGAGGTTACCAGCTAGACGGAGGAAAGAGGCGCCAAACACCAGCCTCCGCCTGCACTTCTGTGGCTGGGCTGGACGTCACCCACAGCTCCGTGCCATCAGGGGAATGGTGGAAAGGCCTGGCATCAGCACGCGGCCTCCCTGCCCAGGTCCAGCCCTGTGGGTCTCGCCGAGCCTGCAGTCGCCTTCATTCTCAAGGTGGCTATGGCATCTTCCCAGGCAGACAGCCCTTCAGGAAGAGGACCAGGGGACTAACCAACCAGAGCAGAGGAGCCACATTTAGAAGGTGTGTTCAGGAAGGAGCCCACACTCCCTGCCACTGCTGCTCCTGGCAGCCCTGGGCTTACCTATGCCCTCCTGCCACCCCAGTCCTCTGTGAGGGACAGTACCAAGTGCCTGGCCTGAGCACACATGTGCTAAAGTCTTGTTCATTGTCCCAGAACCACAGAACGACATAACCGAGGAATCAGTGAGCAGCCTCCCACCCAGGCAGGACCTCTTTGACAACCGCTCGGCCCACACTTGGCGGAGAAGGACTCTGCCCACAGCTTGGGGCCTTGCCAAGGTGGCTGGGAAGGAAGCAGACCCAGGAGCCCCTCCTGCCATCCCAGCGTACCTCCATCCATCCTTCTCCAGCACCCTGGGCTGCAGGCCACTGGCCCCGCCGGCCCTCTGTCTTGCTTTCAGCCCAGTGTCCACTCAATGACTTCACTGCCTCACCCCCTCTCCACTTGCATCCCACAGACTCAGCTGCCCGTCCCTGGTCCCCGTCGGCAGTCCCTGTACACAATCACATCTTAGATCGGCTACTACAGACAGCAGTCAACAGCTGGCTGGGCCAAAGGCACAGCTGCAGTCCCTCCTTAGGGGAGGGGCTTGGGCTGCTCTAGTTCACAAGGAGGTCACAGCAGCTGCAACAGTTTCCAGGCCCCACGACAGCCCTGGGATGCCCAGGCTGGGACATGGCAGGAAAAGCTGACCCCATGCCAAGAAGAAGAGTTGCAGGGGGGACTCTGTTCAGAGCTAAGGTGCCAGAAACTGGCCTCGGGGGAAAGGACGGCCCAACTTCAGCATCTCTGACGGCACCAGCCAGACACTCTACATTCCCAGGGCAGGCCGGCACCCACAGCCCCGGATTCCACGCCCTCGTGCCCGGGCAACCCTGGAGCCTGGGCCCAGAGGACAGTGGAGAGAAGCTTGAGGAGCATCAGCAGGGATGGGAACCTCAGACAGGCAGCAGCGTTTCCCTCCGTCAGCAGAACGGGGAGCATGGTGGCGGTGGCGGCTGCTCAGGAGAGCGGTCACCACGGCTGCCTTTATTACCCACCATCAAACAGCAATTTCTTCCCCAGCCTCCTCGCTAATTACCCAGCCAGCGTTCTCATCTCGTTTTATTACTGGAATTAACAACGAGTTCAGAGCGTGGAAAGCTATTAAGATGTGTGATTAAGCCACATTCAATTAGTTTCTACAAACAATTTAATTGATGTTGCAGATAGAATTAACAGAAGGTGATTGTGTGAATGGCTCCGCTGGCTGCAAAATGGGGGAGGCTGCGGCGGGCTCTCTTGGGCCGGCGAGAATCGGGCGCGGGGCTCAGGGCTGGCCCACGAACTCATCTTCTGTGTGTCCTGTCTCCCCGGCCCCCATCCATAGGTGAGTCACCAGTCCCGATGCCCTTGGGGCTCAGGCGAGACCCTTGCTGGAGAGGAGAGCCAGGCTCAGCCCAGAGTTCTGTCGGAGCCTCTGGAGTTGCCGGAGCTCCTTCCTCGACATGCTTCCTGCCAGGGTTTAGGGTTTGAAGAGCCCCAGAGAGAAGCGGCTGCTCACAGGTAGGGAGGTGGCCTGCTCATTGCTGGCAACTGAAGAGCATGCTCAGGCTGGAAGGTGGCGGCCAGGGGAGATGAAGGAGGTGAGGTGGCAGCCCCGGAGGGAGGGAAAGTGTGGCGGGGGTGGTGGCGGCGTGACATAAAGTGAAGCGGGCTCTGCCAGAGCTCCACGGAGAGCTGTGAGCGCACGGAGCCACAACCGGCCCTGCCTCCACTCGTGCTTTTGCACCGTGTGTAGCCCAGTATGCTTCGGGGCCTGTGACAGGATCTGGATGCCAGGACTTCCAGGCCTGGCCTTGCAGGGTGAATTCTAAGACTCGCACAGTGCAACAAGTGCGGCATGGAGGGGCACTCCTGGGGGCTCAGACACCCACCCTAGCCCCAGGCAGGCAAGCCCAACTCCCTCCTTACTTGACAACACTCACCCTGCTATTAACTCTTACATGACTCTCTCAGCCAGCCCCAGAGGGAGGTGCTCTTGGCAAGTGCAGAAAAATCTGGGTAATGCTCAGAGCCAAAGTCATGGGTCCAAGTCTTAGCTCAGCCACCAGCCGGGTGACTCTGAAAAGCCACCAACCCCCCTGAGCTCTGCTCTCCAGCTGGCTGTGTTTCCTCTACTGAAACCAAAACCCAGCCCAACCCCACAACCCACACTTTCTTCCACATCCAAGACACCCCTTGCCACTCCTCTTCATCCTCGCTGCCTCCACTGTTGGCAGAGGGCACAGACAGCGCACCAAGCTAGGGTCACATAAAACAGAAAGGAGCAGGTAAGAACTGGGCAAAGGGGGAAGGGGAAGGGCAGCTCCACACAGGTGGGGAAATGGACATTTCAAACAGGCCCATTCCCAAGCTCCGCCACCGAGGTGGGCAGCTGGACATGAGCAGAGGGCACGGCTAAGCTGCCTGGTGTCGGCCGTGAAACACCTCAGGCTGGGACTTAGAAGACGCTGGTGCAGTCTCCTGGCCTCAGCACTCCTACCTGGGACTTCCTGTCTGTGAGTGGCCCTGAAAGCCTTGGAGCCTTTCAACAGGGAAATACTGGGGCTCCCCTTGTCTTCCGGCCCTTCCTTTAGTGTAGGGCTGTGTACACAGTAACAAAGCCTGGTACCCGCAGAGCGCCCTTTGGCCTCCTACGATACTTTCTGCCTCTGTGGTAGGCGCTCTTCCCAGCAGGCCTGGCTGCCTCTCATTGCCTCGCAAGGACTCGCGAGTGGGACAAGGTCTGTGCCCGCGGTGGGGAGGTGGGGGGGTCGGGCGGGAGCTCAGGAGCTGGCTGCACTGAATGTGGGTGCTCCCTCCTCCAGTCTCCCAGGTACCAGGCCCTGCCCTGTGGAGTGAGGCGTGTTAGGAAGGGCGAGCGGCTGACTGGCATTGTCCCCTGAGCTGAGGGGGAGGACCATTGCCTGAGGATGGTCAGATACCCAGAAGCCCAGGAGGGCCAGGCCTTCTCTGCGAGTTTTCTCCGCAGGGCTGTCTGGGCGGTGCTCTCGGGCCTGGGTGATGGCCAGGACACAGGGACCCTGCACCTCTTGGGTCAGGCCTTCCTGACACCTTGGGCGGATTCAGAGGCAGGCCCAGAGCTTCTGGGCCGGGGCGGGGCAGTGGGGGGCACGCGCTGTGCTGGAGGGGCTTCACAGGAGAACTCATTAGCCCCACAGTGGGGTGGTGACAGAGATGAATTCCGGTGACAGCTGTGTGCTGGAGCCACGCGGTGAGGGGAGGGGAGGAAAGAAGGGTGGGGGAGCTGCACAGGGGCCACTCCAGTCACCACAACACCCCCCAGCTGGGACACAGGCCACGTGGCCACCAGACCCTCCTAACCACAGACAAGGCCACCCTCGCTCTCCTCCCAGGAGGACTGTCCGAGGCTCTAGCCCATTCTCAACAGCCCTGGTCCTCCACCATCCCAGGCCCAGAAGCCCACAGCTCCCCACTGGCACTGCCCAGCTCAACACAACTGCTGGGCAACATCGGCATCCCTGACCAGAAATTCTGTGGAAGTGGCTGAATCCCCCACCTTAAACAACTGGAAAGTCGGATATACAGCTTGACCGCCCAGAGGGCAAGGGAGGGGCCAGCCGGGTCTTGTGCATGTCCCAAGCTGCCAGTGTGAGGTTCCTTCTCCAGGGATGAGCCATTTGAAATCACTAAGGTCTGCTTCCCGTCCATCCTGGAGCCTGTCTGCTACCCGCATTCTGTTATCCTCCCTCCACCCCCTCCCCATACTCCCCCAGGAGGCTCCTCCTCCCAGACTCACATGCAGGCTGGGGTGATAGGTGAGCAGCCCGTTGTCACAGAGCGTCACATACTTCTTCTTCCACTCCTTGTTCAGGGACTTGCCGCTCCGCTTTAGCAGGATCCCCTGAGAACAGAGGTCTGATCAGAAACCAGGAGCCAGCCCCCTAGGTCATAGGGCATGAGGAGGTCACGATGTCGTCAGGCAATGCCCTCCCCCCTCCCCGCTTCTCCTGGGCCACTTTGAGCAAAGCAGCCTTTAAGGACCTATCGGTGAACTTGGGAAGGCCCCTTAGACCAGTCCTTCCCCAGAACTCGGCTCTCCCCCATCATCCATCAGGAAGCAGCTGGACCGCTGTTCCGGCAGGTGGGCGTCTTCCCTCCCCAGTGTGTGGAGCCACCTCGACAGGAGAAGCCTGTCAGGGGTGTAGACCGTCGGGTGTAGATGATCGGAGGTGTAGACAGTCAGGGGTATAGACGGCCAGGAGTAGACGCTCAGGGGTGTAGATAGTGGCCATCAGTGATGCTCCTCCCCAGGAGGCTCCAAGGGTCAAAACAGCAGAGATTTTGCTAAGTTCCTGGCCTTCCACCCCCTGTGGTAGCTCCATAAGAGGGCAGAAAATCCCCTAATTGTCCCAAGCATCCCCCAGACCACCAAGCCAGGCAGCAGGAAGACCCAGCCTTCCCTCCCAGCAACCACACTTCCCGCGTAAGCCAGTGAGACTCGCTGAACGCAGAGGCTGGATGGCTAGAAGAATGAGCGAAAGTGCCACAACAAGGAGCCTGCCCCGGGGACAGGGCCTGGGCCACAGCTGACACCCAGTAAACATATGTTGGAAGAACTGGGGAAAAGCCCCCTAAAACCCTGGCTGTCAGATGACGAATGCAGGAGGTAGACCCCACTAGGAAGATAGAAGGAGACGATGCTCAACCACAGCTGTGGCCTCCTTCCCAGGAGAAACCTACTCCTCTAGTGAGAACCCTCTAAAGATGCTCTCACTGGCTCAGCTTCTCTCCCTTAAACAACACACACAAGGCAACAGCTGGGAATGGGAGGCGGGGGTCATTCAGGACCAGGGAGCGCCACGATGGAGACCAGGGGCAGATCCAGGACCAGCATCACCATCCATGGCCCCCCATCCTCCAAAATCCCCAACTCAAGAGGGCTGAGAAGAGGCAGTGCTCCCTGGAGACTTCAAGGCAAAAATAGCATAGGGGGAAGAGGGGCACAGGTAGATCCACAAACTGGGGGCTGAGTGTGGGGCTCACCCTCAGCTGGGAGAGCGGAAGGGGCAGCACCCCCAGCAGGGAGACTTGAAAAAGCGGACTCTGCCCATACTTAGAGGAGGGGGCGCCCAGAGAGGGAAGAGGCCCCGCGATGGCATCTCCTTTAGGAATGGAGGGCCCCGCCAGAAGACAGCCAACAACACAGGGACTAAGAGATGCAGGCACAAGGAAACGGCAGTCCCTAGTCTGCAGCTCGTGGTCCTGACGCCCAAGGGTGGGGGGTAAATACTGGATTCAACTGCACCTTCCTCCTCTAAGTTCTTCCTAATAGAAGGCTAACTCCTAGATGGATGCCATTAGGATAAGAGATTCCCGTTTCCTGGACCTCTCCCTCCCCAACAGGAGGTGAGGGGGAGGCCAGAAAGGGCACCCACTTCCAGCGGCCCCAGCAGCTGTGACATCAATTGCTGACTTTCCAGCACGTTTCACATTCTTGCTGCTCCTCCTCCGGCCACACCAGGGCCAAATGCCATTGCTGGAGGTGCGAGCATGCGGGCTGGGAGTTGAAGTACATGGCCATGTGCAGACACATCCTGCTACCTGGCCCCCTTGGCCTGGGAGACCCTATCCTCAAAAGGGGTTTCTGAAAACTAGCGGCACTAAGGGGACCTTCCACAAGGCAAGCGGGCCCTGCCTCTTGGTCTGCGAAGGAGTCTTCCAGGTAGGCTGGGCCTTGGTGACCTGCCTCTGGGTGTGGTATTCCTGTCACTGGCCAGGGGCCAGGTGCACTGAGAGCTCAGAAGCAGTCAGCTGTTCCCCCTCCCGCTGCGACCAGCCATGGGACTAGCGTGCTCGAAGGCTCTAAGTCCCTCAGGCTCTGGAGATGCCTTGGAGTCATCCCCAATACCCCCCGCCCCGCCCCCAGCACACAAACCAAAGAAATAACCAAGTGTGAGGGATGGACCCGGCTCCCCGCCCCCGTCCCGACTCCCCTCACCCCACTAGGCGTGCTTCCCTCTCCCAGCCTCTCCCAGCCTCTCCCAGCCTCTCCCAGCCTCTCCCAGCCTTCAGCAGGAGACTCCACGGCCGGCCCCGCCCCGCCCCGCTCCGCTCTGCTCTGCTCCGCTCTGCTCCCATCTCCAGCGGCCTGGAAGGTGGAGCCCCTCAAGGCCTGCACTGCGCGCGGTTTCTCCGACAGTCAGGGCGGGAAGGGGTCTCCGCACCTCCTTTCCGACCCAGACACGTGTGGCTCCTCCCTCCTCGCAGAGAATGTGATCGGGGAGGGGGTCCCTCCTCCACCCTGAACGCCCCCGTCCTCGGCAACGCCCTCCCCAGGCGGAGGCGAGGGAGCCGCTGTAATGACGCTCGTTAGCCGGGGGCGCGGGCGGAACGACCGGGCCGCTCAGCCCCGCCCCACCCCACCCACCCGCCCGCTCCCGGGAAGCGGACAGGAGGAAACCCGCCTAGCCCGTGCCTCTTCCCACTCCCTCTCCAAAGAAGCTACAGGGGTTCCTGCTCCCTCCCCGGCCGGCCGGCTGCGCACGGCGGAGCAGGAAGCAATCTGGGGCGGAATGGGAACGGCGCAGAGGCGCGGAGGCGACAGCCCCCAGAGGACCCGTTCCCGCCGCCGCCTCCCTCCCAGCTCCGCCAGCCGACTTAATTGCGGAGTCCGGATTGATTGGGAATGCAAATGGCAACTGAAATGCAATCTCCACTCCCAGCAGGAGCTGGGGGGAGGGGAAGGAATAGAACCGGGAGAACGGGACAGGAGGGCGGAGCAAGGAGGGGCTGCAGATCTGGCGGGGCTGGACCGGCGGCAGCGGGGAAGCGCCAGGAATGGCCACCAGGCTGGAAGAAGAGAACGGACGCGCCCCGCCCCTAGCGAGCGATCGTTACAGAACGGGAAGCAGCGGGCACCCCCTAAAGGGTGTCACTGCATCAGGCACAGGCCTCTGACACCTGCCCCCAGCTGGCGGCACCACTCTGGGCTGTGCAGCTAGAGGGCCTTCCTACTGAGCGTCCCTGAGATTTAGGGGTGAAAACACCCAAGTGACCTACTAACTCTAAGACTGGACCAGAACCCCAGGTTCAAGTTCACAGGGCTTCCTCCCCAACCCAACATGTCTCCTTCCTTCCCATGTGAGGGATTCAGGGAACAAATAAGTCAGCCCCTGACGACCAGTGAGGAAAGGGAGCACGTAGGACCCCAAGGAAAGTGGTCCCATTTTCGTAGTGAATTCGGTGAAGTGTGTCTACACACCCACTCACCGCCCACGCCTTCCCTTGCACTCCCCATCTCCAAGCAGGGAGCTGAGGAGCCTACGCCCAAAGCAGAGGGCGTCACCTAGCAGGGTCCCCCACAAAGGAGGTGCCCGGAGAGAGGGGATCAAATGAGCAACAGGTTTGTGCAGGGTCTGTCCTGCACAAAGACAC